>NC_000015.10:90532187-90683702 GCF_000001405.40 Homo sapiens
GGCTCCACCGTGTTCATAAACACATCTGTAAATGATAACACTGAATTTGGCTACTAATGTTTGCTTATTTAAAAATCTTAAGGGTTATTTTCATGAAGAAATCACAAAATTAGAACACTTCTCATAGAGAACTCTTAGATTCCCAGCATGTCTATGAAGAATGCGTCTCTAAGGATCCAAAGATCCCAGTTGGAGGAGTATCTGCCTAGTTCATAATTGGTAACTGGGTGGCAGATATACTGACTTTTCATTACTAGCCCATGACAGACATGCTAATTCCTGACTTTTCATTACTAGCCCATGACAGACATGCTAATCGATAGGGCAGACATTACTGATCTATCTAGATGCTCTTTCCCCTCTGAGCCTGTGTTGGGATTCAAGTTCTTCTCTACATGATCAAAGCAATCCTTCAGAGTTGGCCTTACTTACCTATTCACCTAGGCGTTACTTATCCTATTCACCTAGTGGGTAGGATAGACTAGACTGTAGAGGATTTTCTCTAGCTTTAGAAGTCCGGCATTATCAGGAAGCAGTGGGAAAATTTTGAGAAGGGAGTACTAGGAGGAGGAGTTGAGTGGTGGTACCTGGAATGGTAAAGAGAGGGAGGAAAGTGGGGTCGGGCGTGGTGGTTCACGCCTGTAATCCCAGCACTTTGGGAGGCTGAGGCGGGCAGATCACGAGGTCAAGAGATCGAGACCATCCTGGCCAACATGGCGAAACCCCGTTTCTACTAAAAGTACAAAAATTAGCCTGGCATGGTGGCGTGCGCCTGTAGTTCCAGCTACTCGGGAGGCTGAGGCAGGAGAATCGCTCGAACCCAGGAGGTGGAGGTTGCAGTGAGCCGGGATCGCACCGCTGCACTCCAGCCTGGGCGACAGAGCAAGACTTCATCTCAAAAAAAAAAAAAAAAAAAAAAAAAAAAAAAAAAAAAGGCCGGGCGCGGTGGGTCACGCCTGTAATCCCAGCACTTTGGAAGGCCGAGGCGGGCAGATCACGAGGTCAGGAGATCGAGACCATCCTGGCTAACACAGTGAAACCCTGTCTTTACTAAAACTACAAAAAAATTAGCCGGGCATGGTGGCGGGCGCCTGTAGTCCCAGCTACTCGGGAGGCTGCGGCAGGAGGGAGGCTGCGGCAGGAGAATGGCGTGAACCCGGAAGGCGGAGCTTGCAGTGAGCCGAGATCGCGCCATTGCACTCCAGCCTGGGCGACAGAGCGAGACTCCGCCTAGGAAAAAAAAAAAAAAAGGGAAGAAAGTGGTTGCAGGTATGCCTGGGAAGAGGCTGTTCTGTTGTTCATTTATTAATGTATTCATTTGTCAGTATTTGAGTGCCTACTTTGTTGTTAATGGGGTGTGTGTTTGTGAGGGAGAAGAGTGAAAACATGGGGCTGTCCTTTAAAGATCTTACTGATTTGTTCCACAAATTTACTTACTGAGTGAGTCCTTAGTGTGTGCCAGGGGTTAGGATGGACACTGGGTATATAGTAATGAGCAAGCAAAACACAGTGTCCCAGTGGATTTTAGGATTTAATGAGGAAGACATTCATTTAATAAGTAAGGACACATTTTGGTGAATATCACCAAAACAGAAGTAGGTGGAGCTCTGGACCTGTATGGTAGGGAATTCTCACCTCTTCCAGTGGCCTAAAGGCTCAGGGGGAGTGGGGGAGGCATTCGAGGGTTTGTGTGTTGAGGGAGGGAATATGTTGCAGGTACAGAGAACAGAGATTCAGTAAAAGAGGATGAGGAGGGGATGTGAGATGAGGCTGGAGGCATTCATAGGGATCAGGTTGTAGAGACAGGATTTGGAACTTGATCTTAAGGGCAATGGGAAGTCACTGAAGGGGTTAAACTATGTGAGATTTGCTTTTTTAAAAGATTCCTCTAGCTCCAGCGTGGTGGGTAGAAGAGAGGAGGAGGAGGATTTTAGTAGGAGATGTGATAGTGGCATTTACTAAGATGGTGGCAGTCGGGAGGCAGAGCGGTGAGCAGATTGATACTTAGGAGGTGGAAAGGGCCAGATTTTGTGAATGGGTGAGGAAGGTGAGAAAGAGGGAGGGCTGGAACCATTTCAGGGTGTTCTTCATTAAGTGGACACTGGCAGGAGCAGGTTTGTGCGGAAATGCTGAGTTTGAGGTGCCTGTGAGGCACATAAGTAGAGATGGTCCAGCAGGCAGCTGTTTAGATGGTTTTGCAGCTCGAGAAGGAAGGCTGAGCTACTGAGAAAAATGGGGGAATTTTTGTTATGTAGCCACAGAAGTAGATTTGGCTGCCTAGGAAGAATTGATGGAACAGATATTGTAAACTGGTGGCTTAAGTTCTGTATTTTGCCCTCTAACATGTTTTTGGTTTTGGCCCAAAATGTGGTTAGTTGGTTGGTTGGTTGGTTTTAATTAGGGCTAACAATGAATATTGGGATTTTATAGTAAAATCTGGACTTTGGTTTCTTTTGAAAAATGAGATAATCCAACGACACTCACCCGACATTTCTGGACGGCACCAGTTGCCTGGAGCTGAATGGTGGCTGCCCCATTAGAAAGGCCATGGATGTGGTCTTCAGTTTGCCACAGTCCCTACCACCCTCTAAGGTATTCTTTGCAGTGATCCCAGACTGCTTCACTTAGATTCCCTGCTTGGCAGCTGTAGGCATTTGAGTTTGTTACCCTTGTCAGAAGGTGAACTGTGAGGCCAGGCGCGGTGGCTCACGCCTGTAATCCCAGCACTTTGGGAGACCAAGGCAGGCGGATCACCTAAGGTCAGGAGTTTGAGACCAGCCTGACCAACATGGAGAAACCCCGTCTCTACTAAAAATACAAAAAATTAGCCAGGCATGGTGGCGAGTGCCTGTAATCCCAGCTACTCAGGAGACTGAGGCAAGAGAATCGCTTGAACCTGGGAGGCGGAGGTTGCAGTGAGCCGAGATTGTGCCATTGCACTCCAACCTGGGCAACAAGAGCGAAACTCCGTCTCAAAAAAAAAAAAAAAAAAAGAAAGTGAACCATGAGGAGGGCCTAGGAGAAGCCAAAGGAACTAAGGAACTACACCATTTGAAAGGGAGGTGGAGGAGCTGGCCAAGAAGGCTTGAAGAGCAACCAGAGGGGCAGGAGAAAGCCAGGAGTACTCTTATGAAGAGGAGGGAATGCCGACCAGCTGAGCCTAGTGCTGCTGACTTGGTCTGACACAAAAGATGTGTCCTTTGGTCTAGTCATGTGGAGGTCATCAGAGGAGGTCATCAGTAACCTCGGTGAGAGATGCTGTATTCTCAGGGTGCTGGGTGAAAGGCTAATTGTGAGACGTTGAGGAGTGGACGGGGGTGGGGAATGGAGATAGGGTTGGAAACTTATTCCAGAAGTTTGGCTGTGAAGAGCAACTTGTGTTGAGGAACCAGAGGACTAACTCAGCATATCACCCTGGAGTGTTGATTGGACTTGAATATTTGCGCAGACTCATTATTTTCATGTGAAAATAAACCAATGATAAGACATAGATATGTCATAGATTAGCGAGCTCTCAGGATGGAGGAGAGAGAGAAGATGGAAATATTAGGTTTGGGCTAAATATTGAGGACTTTCCTTTTGCGAGGCACTGTAATCCCTTTCACATGTTGTTATCTCACATAGTCCTCAAAATGAGCCTATGGTGTGTATATCTGGAATTTTCCTCATTTTTGTGGATGAGTAAACTGAGGCTTAGAGAGGCATGGTTGCAGAGCTGGTAAGTGGTAGAGCCAGGGTTTGAATCTAGCTATCACAGTGAATGTCTGTATACTTAGCTACTTTAATTTCCCTCATAAGGATCTTCAGCTGCTTTTACTCCCTGCTGTAAGGTATCAGTATCATTTGTTGAAAAGACTTTTCTTTGCCCATTGAATTGCTGTGGCAATTTTGTTGCAATCAGTTGGCCATATAAGTGTTGGTTTATTTTTAGACTCTTTTCTGTTCCAGTGATTTGTATATCTGTCTTTTTGACAATAGCACACTGTCTGTATATTATAGCTTTATAATAAGGCTTAAAACCTGGTAATTTAAGTCCTCTAACTTAGCTCTTTTTGAAAATTGCTCTGGCCAGGTGCCATGGCTCATGCCTGTAATCCCAGCACTTTGGGAGGCTGAGGCGGGTAGATAGCTTGAGCCCAGGAATTCTAGACCAGCCTAGGTAACATGGTGAAATCCGTCTCTAAAAAAAAAAAACGAAAATTAGCTGGGCGTGGTGGCGCGTGCCTGTATTTGGGAGGTGGAGGTTGCAGTGAGCTGTGATTGTGACACTGCACTCCAGCCTGGGCAACAGAGACCCTGTCTCAAAAAAAAAAAAAAATTGCTCTGACTATTCTAGGTCATTTGCACATCCATAAATTTTAGAATTATCTTGTCAATGTCTCTGAAAGGACCCGCTGGGATTTTGGATTGTAATCGTGTTGGCTATTGTGAGACTTTTCTCAAAAAGGAATTAATGAGGCCTGGATCTCATTTCCTGTAGGCATTAAAGAAAATTCCACTAAGATGTGTGACTGTAGGCCAAAGGTCACTAACTCAGTAAGTGAGGCAGGTAAGGAAAATGAATGGAGGGGCCAGGAATGAGATGATCATGGCAGCTGATCCTGGGCCATCGTGAAGGGATAATAGGGTACAGTGAGGACTTGGCAAACACGATCTAAGGGGGTGGCCTCTTCTCAGCTTCATCCAGCGATGCCATGCAAGAACATGGGTTCAGTGTTGTCTGATCTTTCAATCAGGAGAAGTTGGAAATCCATATTTTTATGCAGTGTCCTGATTTTTTCAATTGAAATTTAATACACTGAATGGGTCAACATCTGGTGGGTAAACAGAACACTCTAGGTGAAATGTGGCCTATGGGCTGCCAGTCTGTGACCTCGGCCTTAGGCTAATCATTCTTTGGTTCACATGTTCATCATCTGTAAACATGAAGGTGTTGAAGACAGTCTCAAAGTTCTTTTTCTAGCTCAATGAGTCTAAATTTCAAAAGAGGAAAATGTCAAAATAACTCAGAGTTTGAAGAGGTAGCTGAGATCAGCAATAATGATAATATCTTAAGTTGACCAGAGCTTTACATTTGACATACCACTCTTGTGTCTGTGTCATTTAATCCTCACTTTATCTTGTGCAGGAGGCGTCAGAGTTGTTTGCCCAACCACACGGGAGTTGCAGGTTACAAAGTCACATCATCCGATTCCAGGTCCAGTGCTTTTTGTTTTTTTAGAGTCTCGCTCTGTCGCCCAGGCTGGAGTGCAATGGCGCCATCTCGGCTCACGGCAAGCTCCGCCTCCCGGGTTCATGCCATTCTCCTGCTTCAGCCTCCTGAGTAGTTGGGACTGCAGGCGCCCACCACCATGCCTGGCTAATTTTTTTGTACTTTTAGTAGAGACAGGGTTTCACCGTCTTAGCCAGGATGGTCTCGATCTCCTGACCTCGTGATCCGCCCGCCTCGGCCTCCCAAAGTTCTGGGATTTACAGGTATGAGCCACTGCTCCTGGCCTTTTTTTTGAGACAGAGTCTCACTGTGTCACCCAGGCTGTAGTACAGTGGCATGATCTTGGCTCACTGCAACCTCTGCTTCCTGGGTTCAAGCAATTCTTCTGCTTCATCCTCCCAAGTAGCTAGGATTGCAGGCATGCACCACCACAGCTGGCTAATAGTTAGTAGAGACGGGGTTTCACCGTGTTGGCCAGGCTAGCCGTGTTCTTTTTTAACAGTCTTTGAAGGCTTCGGAAATAGGTGCTTTGGGAGGGAGAGCAGTTATGGGGGATTGTGAGACGGCCTTCAGCTCAGTTGAGGGCAGGTCCCTATCTGGATTTATAACTTAGTTTGGTTGAAGTGTCAAGGCTTTTGGGTAAGAGTTGAAGCCTTTGTGAGAACTCTCTGAAGGCAGGAACTTTAGCATACATTCATCTTAGTAAGCCAGTGCCTGGCATACTACCTGACACACAGTTAAGTTTTTGTATCAGTAAATCAATGGATAAATTGATCCTTCAAAAAAGAAATCAAAGGCTTTAAATCAAGATGGCTGAGAATTTTGTCCAGAGAATTTCAAGAATAGTCAGATGCTTCTGATAAGTACTTTTAGAATGTTAAGATTGAAAGCTGAGAGACTTTATTCCTATAACTCCACTCCTAGATGGAAAAAACACCATGTCGTCCTCCTCATGTTTGACTCTGAGATTTGGGTTTTGATTAATAGGTTATAACTGTCTCCCTGTGCAGTACATTTAAGAAATCAAATACAGCAGGTATAAGGGAAGTTAAAGCCACTGAAGGATTTCGTATGCCTTTAAAATTTCCAAACAAGTATAAGTCTTTATCTTTTGAGAATACATATTGAAATATGGAGTGATACCATGTCTGAAATTTCTGTCAGTGAGGCACTGCGGGTAGTGGAGAGGGTAAAGATGAAAGATGATTGTATATAAGTTGGTAATTTTTAAGCTAGAAGATGGATAGATGGGGTTTCATTATACTTGTCTTTATTTCACATATACTATTTGAAATCTTTCATAATAAATGTAAAAAGGAAATTATCAGAGAGCTTCATAGGTTCAACAATGCTTTTGGTAAACCAAACTTCACCTTTTTTTTTTTTTTGAGTTTGTAATTAGTATGATCATCGAGGGAAAGATGGGACAAAGGAAAAGAGCATGGCAGAAATGGGCATATGGGCTTTGAGGCTGACAGCCGTGGCTCAGCCTCCTGCTAGCCACGTGGCAAGTCACTGAACTTCCGAGTCTGGGTCTCCAGGTCTGTAACAGCAGGAGAGTACAGTCTCATTTGCATGGTTGTGGGGAGGATTAGGGATGAAGTGGGCCAAGTGTCCGAGAACAGCACCTGGCCCATCCTAGGGGCTTAGATCTGGTAGTGTTTTATTATTGTTAGAGACAGAGAGTGATGAAGGGTAAAAATCTGCCCCAGGGCTCTCGTCTATAACCCTTTCTTCTCTATATGAATTATAGTGCCAAGGGTTATGTAACCATGGAGCTAATTTATTATTTTAGAAACAGAACTCTTAAAGACCAGATCAGACCACTTTGAGATTTACAAGAACTGTAACCAGTTTATTGCTTTTTGAAAAATGAAGTAAGGAAGAACTTACAAAGAAAAGCATATTAAAATGGTGGGATGCCATTTTATACCTATTGAATTGACCTCCTTCCTTACCCCAATTAATGGTAATATCCAATATCAATGAGTTTTTTTGGTGAAACTTTTCTCATATGTATATTATAAACTCTTTGGGAAAGCATTTCGGCAGTATACGTTGAGAGCCACCAAAAGGCCCATATCCAGAGATTTAGTAATCACCCTTTGGAAGGTGTTCTAAGGAAATAATTCAGAAGAACTGTTATATACCCACTAAAAATTACTCTGTAATAGCATAGAAAAGGCTTATGATGAGCATGCTAGGTTGTACCTATCTTATGATCACAGCTATGCAGTTCTTACCATAAATGTAAACGGAGGCTGGAAAAGAGCATGAAGAAGGGAAAACAGCTAATGTGTTAGGGTTGTGGATAGTAGCTTAGTTTTTCTTTCAGAAATTCTTTTATTGTTGTTAAAGATTATGCCAGTGTATCCAAACATACACACTCAAAGACCTTGCAAGAGGACGTTACTATCATGGTATATGGGACATTTGGAACATGGGTAAGCTCTTTCCGAAAATAGAGTAATCAAAACCCAGAAAGCACCGGAAACCTTGAGGGTGTGATCACTTACGTCGAGAAGAAATTGAAACAAGACTTTCATTCTTGAACCGTTCCCCTACAAAATACTATACTTTGATGCTTCTTTAGATCTTTGCTGTTACCTCTCAGCGTTCTTAAATCACTTTGTTTCCAGGTTCAATTTCAGAAGCTTCAGCAACTGCGCCTTACACAGTACCATGGAGGATCCTTACCAAATGTGAGCCAGCTGCGGAGCAGTGCGTCAGAGTTTCAGGTACCTCCAGATATGTACTTTCTTGAAGCTGAATGGAGTGTAAAAAATAGACAAAGATTATCACTAAAAAGATGAGATCTTGAAGGATAAGCTGGGCCTAGGTACAGTTCAGTCTTCTTTTGGAAAGTCCATTAATATTCTCTCTCATAGTTTCTACAGCATACGATAGTGTTATTTCACAAATGGCTGAAGGCAGCACTGGCAAGTAGAATTATAACACAAGCATATGTAATTTAAAATGTTCTAGTAGCTACATTAAAGAAGAAGAAACACGTGGGGTTAATTTTAATATCTATATTTTTCAAAATGCAGCTTTCTCATCTATAATTTTAATATTACTTAAATAAATGTTTGGCTGGGCATGGTGGCTCACACCTGTAATCCTAGCACTTTGGGAGGCCAAGGCTGGCAGATCACCTGAGGTCAGGAGTTCGAGACCAGCCCGGTCAACATGGTGAAACCCCATCTCTACTAAAAATACAAAAATTAGCTAGGTGTGGTGGCTCACAGCTGTAGTCCCAGCTACTTGGGAAGCTGAGGCATGAGAATCGCTTGAACCCAGGAGGCGGAGGGTGCAGTGAGCAGAGATCATACCACTGCCCTCCAGCCTGGGCGACAGAGCGAGACTGTCTCAAAAAAAAATAAAAATAAAAAAATAAATATTTAATCCAATATATCCAAAATATGATCATTTTAACATGCAATCAGCATAAAAAAACTGAGAAATCTCACATACTTTTCTGTGTACTATGTCTTTGAAATCTGTTGTGTATTTTATACTCAAAGCATACTTTAATTTGGACCAGCCGCATTTCACTAGTTTCATGTGGCTGGTGGCTACCACATGGCTCAGTGCAGGTGTAAGACACAGATAAGTAGTCTGTATTGCATTTAGATTACTGCAGTGTCCTCGGGTGCTTTCATCGTTCACATCAGTGGAAAGCCTTGTTCAAACCAATGTGGAATTGGTGTTTCAGACAATGGTATATGGCACTATTGTTAAGACCTGAATTAGACCTGCTTAGATATCCCAATCTGTGAAACATTAGGAGCCTGTCATTCTAATTATGCAATTTAAGATTCGGTGTTAAAGTTGAGATATAAACTTTAAGATGAAGCATTAATTGATTGTTTGGATGCCTGACCATTTTAAAAGCACTGTCTTATTTCTTTGTGGTAGAAACTGGGTTCACTTTTTTGATGATGTCAAATAAAGCCAAATGTATTATTTAAGTTGGGGACTTCCATTTGAGAGTGCTGATAGGAACTCCAAATATAATGGTGATTAGAAAAAGTACTACATGAACATATTTGTACCCTATTGCACCGGAATCTTGTCTTCAATATAATGACAATGGACTCTTTACCATATTACTGCCTGTATTAGAGATCTACCTTCATATATCAAACTACCTTATATATTAACCCACTGGGTTATTTAGTATCCAAATAACATAGGTCTCTGCCTTATGCGGGATTTCATACTTCAGGAAATACAGCATTGTGCAAGTTTGCTGTGTCTGAGATCCCAATTTTGTGCTACTTTATTGTCAACTTTAGAGGAATATAGAATTTACTATGATGTTCCCCTCCGGTTGCATTGGGGAATGGGATAAAATGATAATCCTTGGCCTTCCCAGGATTCTTTTTTTCTTTTTTTTTTTTTGAGATGGAGTCTCACTCTGTCGCCCAGGCAGGAGTGCAGTAGTGCAATCTCAGCTCACTGCAACCTCCATCACCTGGGTTCAAGCATTCTCCTGCCTCAGCCTCCTGAGTAGCTGGGATTACAGGCGTGCACTACCACGCCCAGCTAATTTTTATATTTTTAGTAGAGATGGGGTTTCACCATGTTGGTCAATTGGTCTTGAACTCCTGACCTCAAGTAATCCACCCACCTTGGCCTCCCAAAGTGCTGGGATTACAGGCATGAGCCACCGTGCGTAGCCCCCAGGATTCTTTTCATACTGTTTTTGTTTTGTTTTGTTTTGTTTTTCTTTGCAACAGTCACAAACTTACACAATACTTGGAAGTATAGTCCACTTAATTTTTTTTTTTTTTTGAGACCGAGTCTCATTCTGTCGCCTAGGCTGGAGTGCAATAGCGCGATCTCAGCTTACTGCAACTTCCAGCTCCTGAGTTCAAGAGATTCTTCTGCCTCAGCCTCCCAAGTAGCTGGGATCATAGGCGTGCGTCACCACGCCTGGCTAATTTTTGTATTTTTAGTAGAGACAGTGTCTCACCATGTTGGCCAGGCTGGTCTCGAACTCCTGACCTCAGGTGATCCGCCCATCTCGTCCTCCCAAAGTGCTGGGATTACAGGCATGAACTACTGTGCCCTGCTGACATAACTTTTTTTTCACTTGGGAATAAGTTCCTGACCTGATGCCCCATCACCCCCTAATATTTCACTGTGTTTTTCCTACAAGCAAAGACGTTGTTCTATATAACCAAAATACAGCCATCAAGATAAGAAAATTAACAGTGATCCATTATTACAATCTGATCTTCAGACTGCATTCACCAAATGTCCCCCTGCTGTCCTCTGTAGCAAAAGGATTCAGTTCAGAATCACATGCAGTTATTGCCTGCAGTCTCCTTCAGTCTGGAACAGCTTTTCAGCCTTTTATTTTTGACATTAATTCAAGTACTCTTAACGTTTGTGATCCTGTCACATTTGAAGATTACAGGCCAGTTTTTTTGTAGATATAACCCCTCAATTGGGGTCTGCCTAATGTATCTTTGTGATTTGATTCAGACTATGCATCTTTGGCAGGAATAACGTAGAAGAAGTGAGGCTGTTATGGTATCACATTAGGGACATGATTTTGATGTGTCCTGTTAATGATGATGTTCTCTTTTATCAATTAAGGTGGTGTCCACCAGGCATGGTGGCTCACACCTGTAATCCCAGCATTTTGGGAGGCTGAGGCAGGCAGATCGCTTGAGCTCAGGAGTTTGAGCCAGCCTGGGCAACATGGAGAGACCCTGTCTCTACTGAAAAAAAAAAAAAAAGGCCAGATGTGGTGGTGCACGCCTCTGGTCCCAGCTACTTGGGAAGCCGAAGTGGGAGGATTGAGTGCTTGAGTCCAGAGAGCAGAGATTTCAGTGAGCTCACATGGGGCCACAGTACTCCAGCTTGGGTGACAGAGCCAAACCCTGTCTCAAAAAAAAAAAAAAAAAAAGGTGGCCTGTCTGTCAGGCTTCCCCATTTAAAGTAACTCTTTTCCCCTTTGTAATGAATAAATATTTTGCGAGGAGATACTTTATCCTGATCTTCATTAAACTTTCAATCTATACATTCATTTTTTATCTCTCGGTATATGGTTTTATGATTTTCTATTTTATTCAATCTATTATAATCTATTATTTTATTTATTCATTTTTGAAGCAATGAAAGCACAGATTTATTGAAATAAAAGTATGCTCTACAGAGTAAGAGTGGGCTTGAAGCGCAAGCTAATCTATTATTTTTATTTTGATCTTCACATTCTCCCCAATTAGGCTGGTGGGAGCCCTCTTCCGAACTGAGAAAAATTCTTGAAAAACTGAGGAGAGTCCCAGAGCACAGATTTTTTTTAAGTAAATGTTTTTGAGGTATTATGTAAATACAATATAATTTATACCTTTTTTAGGTATACAGCTCTTTGCCATATAATCACCACCACAATGAAGATGTAGAATAGTTCCATTACCCCAAAAGGTTCCCTTGTGTCTGTTTGTAAGTATTCTCCATCCCCCACCTCCAGCCTCTGGAAACCACCATCTGTAGTTTTGACTCTTCCAGTGTCCTATTAGTGGAATCAAATGTCCGTAGTCTTTTGAGTTTTTCTCTCACTTAGCATTTGAGATTCATCTGGGTGGTTGCGTGTGTTAGTTTCCTAGGGCTGCTGTAACAAAGTACCACAAACTTAGTGCCTTAAAACAACAGAAATTTATTTTCTCATGTTCTCATGTTCTGAGTCCAGAAGTTGGAAATCAGCATGGTGTCAGCAGCACCATGAATGCTCTGGGGAAGAATCCCTCCTTGTCTCTTCCTAGCTTCCGTGGTCTGCGGCAGTCCTTAACTTGTAGCTGCATCACTTACTCTCTGCCTCTGTCATCACACGACTTTCTTCATTGTTTGTCTGTGTCTGTGTTTAAATCTTCCTCTCCTTTTTCTTATAAAGAACTAGTCATTGGATTTAGGGCCTACCCTAATTCAATATGATCTCACCTTTGCTTGATTACATCTGCAAAGATTCTGTTTTCAAATAAAGTCATATTCACAGGTTCTGGGGCTTAGGACTTGAAGATATCTCTTTTGGTGGCCATAATTTAACCCACTACATTGCATTGATCAGTAGTTCATTTCTTTTTATTGCTGAGTAGAATTCCATTCTATGGATGTAGATAATTTATGCATTCATCAGTTAGTTGATGGGCATTTGGGTTGTTTCCACCTTTTGGCAATTATGAATAAATATTCTATAAACATTCACATACAGTTTTTATGTAAGTAGCTAGTAGTGGAATTGCTAGATCATACAGTAAGTGTATATTAACTTTAGCTTTATAAGAAATCGCCAAGCTGTTCTCCAAAGTGGCTCTACTGTTTCACATTCTTACCAGCAGTGCATGAGAGTTCCAGCGACCCTGTATCTGCTCTAGCACTTGGTATTTCAGAGTTTCAAAAAAATGGTGGTTAAAAAACAGAACATAAAATTTACCATCTTAACCATTTTTTAAAGTAGTTTATTGGTATCTTCTAAAACCATTTTTAAATGTATAGTTCAGTGGTATTACATACATTCATATTGTGCAACCAATCTCCAGAATTTTTTCATCTGACAAAACTGAAATTCTATGCCCATTCAATAAGAATTCTCCATGTTCCCTTCCCACCAGCCTCTGGCAACTACTGTTTTTTCTGTCTCTATGACTTTGACTATTCTAAGTGCCTCATATGAGGGAAATCATATACTATTTGTCTTTTTTGTGACTGGCTTGTGCTTAGTATAATGTCTTCAGGGTTCACCCGTGTTATAGTCTGTGACATGATTTCCTTCCTTTTCAAGGCTGAGTAACATTTCATTGTATGTGGATGCCACATTTTGTTCCATTCATCCGCTAATGGATACTTGGGTTGCCGCCACCTCTTGGCTATTGTGAATAATGCTGCTATGAACATGGGTGTGCAAATATCTCTTCAAGGCTCTGCTTTCCATTCTTTTGGGTACATACTCAGAAGTAGGATTGCTGAATCATATGACAATTGTGGTTTTAATTTTTTTTTTTTTTTTTGAGACTGAATCTCGCTCTGTCGCCCAGGCTGGAGTGTAGTGGCGTGATCTCAGCTCACTGCTGCCTCCGCCTCCCAGGTTCAAGCAGTTCTACTGCCTGAGCCTCCTGAGTAGCTGGGTTTACAGGCGCGCCCCACCACACCTGGCTAATTTTTGTTTGTTTTTTTTTTTTACTTTTGAGATGGAGTCTCACTCTTTCGCCCAGGCTGGAGTGCAGTGGCACGATCTCGGCTCACTGCAACCTCCGCCTCCTGGGTTCAAGCAATTCTCCTGCCTCAGCCTCCCAAGTAGCTGGGACTACAGGCACCTGCCACCACGCCCGGGTAATTTTTTTTGTATTTTTAGTAGAGACGGGGTTTCACTGTGTTAGCCAGGATGGTCTCCATCTCCTGACTTTGTGATCCGCCCGCCTTGGCCTCCCAAAGTGCTGGGATTACAGGCGTGAGCCACTGCGCCTGGCCTTGTCTAGTTTTTAAATTGAGTTGTTAATTTTCTTAATCAGTTGTGAGAGTTGTTTATATATTCTGGATACCAGTTCTTTATCAGATATGTATTTTGCAAATATTTTCTCCCAGTCTGTGGCTTGTTTTTTCATTTTCTCAAGTCTCGAAGAGTAGAAGTTTTAAGTTTTGAAGTCTAGTTTATCAATTGTGTTATTTTATGATTTGTGCTTTTGTCTTATCTATTAATAAGAGTTCTTCATCTAACTCAAGTTCCCGAAGGTTTTTTTTCTATGTGTTTCTCTATTAGTTTTATAGCTCTGTCTTTTACACTTAAGTAAATTATGAGTTAATTTTTTTGTGTGGTACAGGGTTTGGGTTTGAGGCTCACTCATTTTGCATAGGGATGTTAAATTGTTCTAGAACCATTTGATGAAGACTTTCTTTTCCCTATTGAATGCCTTGGTACCTTTGTTGAAAATCAATTGACCATATACATGTGGGTCTATTTCCGGACTCTTCTGTGTCATTGGTTTCTTTGTCTATCATTTTGCTAATACCATCTTCTGTGTCATTGGTTTCTTTGTCTATCATTTTGCTAATACCACACTGTCTTGATTACTGTACCTTTATAGGAAGGCTTGGAATTAGGTAATGAGAGTCGTCTTTGTTCTTTTTTGAAGCTGTTTTGCTTATTTTCATTCCTTTGCTTTTCCATAACATTTTAGAATCAGCTTGTTAATGTCTATAAAAACACCTGCTAGGATTTTATTTTTATTTTTTTGAGACGGAGTCTCACTCTGTTGCCCAGGCTGGAGTGCAGTGGCACGATCTCCACTCACTGCAAGCTCTGCCCCCTGGGTTCATGCCATTCTCCTGCCTCAGCTTCCTGAGTAGCTGGGACTACAGGTGCCCGCCACCACGCCCAGCTAATTTTTCTGTATTTGTATTAGAGACGGGGTTTCACTGTGTTAGCCAGGATGGTCTCGATCTCCTGACCTCGTGATCCACCCGCCTCGGCCTCCCAGAGTGCTGGGATTACAGGCGTGAGCCACAACGCCCGGCCAACACCTGCTAGGATTTTAAACAGGATTGCATTGAATCTATAGATAGGTTGGGGATAATTGACATCTTTATAATATGGAGTCTTCCACGAAGAAGACTTCCATGTACAGAAAAACAGATTTTTATTGAAGTTCAGTTGCTTATAATCATTTATATACAATTCTCCTTTTATTTTTATTATATTGATATATTTTTGATTGACAAAATTGTATATATTTATGGTATACGATACGATATTTTCATAAATGTATACCTTGTGGAATGGCTAAATCAGACAAACATATGCATCCTCTCACATCATTATCATTTCTTTTGTGGTGAGAATCTGCTCTCAGCAATTTGCAATATATGATACATTGTTATTAACTTTAGCAATCATGATGTACTATAGATATCTTGAACTTGTTCTTCCTGTCTACTCCTTTTATGTTTGTAAATCACTTTGGAGTTTACAAAATGCTTTCATATCTGTTATTTTACTTCATCCTCTTACTACAACATTGGTTGGTAAGTGTAGTACTATTTTAATATACTAAAGACCAATTTTCTATCCTAATGGAGGATCTCAAAGTGCATTCTTTTTTTCTAACCCAATGAGCCCTTATGCAAAGAACGTAGACTTATCAGATGAGTAAACAAAAGCCAACTTTTCAGGCTGCCTTCTGATAATCTTTAGCAAGGGGCAGACCATCAGTAAAGGGGTAGCTAGGGTTATAGCCCTCATGTCTCTAGGCAGGGCCTGGCACACATACACTGAGGGCAGAGAGGAGGAAGTGGGCATTATCTTCTTCTCTGAGAGCGAGGGCTAGGGCTGTCTCTTCTGCTTAGTGGAGGGATAGCATGTTCCAGCCTGTGTAACAGCTAGGGCACATGTTGACTGAATGGCTTGTCAGGCAGCTGTAGAGAGAGGGACAAAGGGCTTCTCTCTGTATAGGGCTTTGTAGGTATAGTTGTAGCTTTTCGTATCCTTTTTTTTTTTTTTTTTTTTGTGACAAGGTCTCAAGGTCACCCAGCTGGAGCGCAATGATGTGATCTTGGCTCACTGCAACCTCCACCTCCTGGGCTCAAGGGATCCTCCTGTCTCAGCCCCCCAGGGTAGCAGGGAGTACAGGCGTAAGCCACCACACCCGGCCAGTTTTTGTATTTTTGTAGAGATAGAGTTTCACTATGTTGCCCAGGCTGGTCTCGAACTCCTGAGCTCAAGCGATCCACCCGCCGTGGCCTCCCAAAGTGGTAGGATTACAGGTGTGAGCCACCACTCCCAGCCTCGTATCCTTTATATAACCTACCCTAGTCCTTTCAAATCATATCACTAAAAACTAATTGTACTTTTTACATCTCTGATTAACTACATTTTAACAAAATTGCATCATGTCATGTGTAACTGAGGGCTTTTAAGTTCTAATTTAGGGAACAATCTGATGGTCAAGGGAAGAAACCCTTATACCAAGGCAGTTTGCAAAGGCCTGGAGGGCCAGGTCCAGCAAGGTGGTTTTCCTGGGGCCCACTACCAATATGAGTAGTATAATGAGGCCCAGAGTTCGCATAGCAAGTAAGTAAGAGAACCAGGACTTAAAAATCATGTCTTTGACTTCCAGTTCCATTTCCATGGTTTTCCTTTACTGCATTTCCTTTCAAGTTTTCATAAGGTTCTTTAAAGGAAAAAAAAAGATTGGCAAAAAGATACATCAGTTAAACAAAAGAAAACCTAAGTAGCAGTATTAATCTCAAAATACCACTACTAACCACAGCTGACATTTATTGAGTATGTGCTATGTGCCAGACACTGTGTTAAGCTCTCTATGTAGATGGTAATTGTCATAGCATTATATGACTTTTATGTGATAAAACAACATAGCAACAAATTGCAAAAAGGAAAAACTCCAAGAAATGAGAATTCGACAATAGCACAATTCTAGATTTTTAATTCACTACGACTGAGCCAATATTCAAAATAAAGATAATAAAGAGTTACACCATTAACAAATCAGAATTACTGTATACCAAAATTTATTCCCTAGAGTTTATTCTCTAAAAAGGTAAGATACCTTTCTAGATATTTCTAGACTCATTTTAAAAGCAATACTTCTTTTTCTGATTATAAATGTAACACTTGCTTATTACAGAAAACTGGTTACATCTTTTTTCACCATTTGGCCTTTTCTTTCAGTAGTTTTGCAGTGACTATAAATATTTTTTAACAAAATCAGCCTCATATGTATGTATAGTTTTGTATTTTCCTTCTATGTGTTCAATGGTTTTCAGAAACAGTATTTCTAGTGACTACATGCTATTCTGTCACATGGATATGCCACAGTTTCACTGCCCCCTTATTGTTTGGGTTGTTTTCACTCTTTGTTCATGGTGTGTGTGTGTGTGTGTGTATGTGTGTGTGTGTAGTGTAAATTGATCACATACTGGGCCAAATAAATTCTCAGTAAATTAAAAAAGGAGAAATTGAATCTGAACATAATTAATAAAATTGCAATTAATAATTAAATTTAAATTTAAAAATCCAGCTATTTGAAAATTTTAAAGCCTTTTTAATAACTATTAGATATACTATCAGGCAGGCTGGGTACCATGGCTCACGCCTGTAATCCTAGCACTTTAGGAGGCCGAGGCGGGCAGATTGCTTGAGCCCAGGAGTTGGAGAAAGATAGTGAAGAGCTAGAAGAATGCCTTCACTTTGAAAATCTGAGGAATGCCTTGGATCCCTCCTGAGGAAAATATGTAAATATGTATACATGCTCTTATTCACTTATTTTATTTTATTCTTTTTCTTTTTTTTTTTTTTTTTGAGACAGGTCTTTCTCTGTCACCCAGGCTGGAGTGCAGAAGCGTGATCTCAGCTCACTGCAACTTCTGCCTCCCAGGTTCAAGCGATTCTGCTGCCTCAGCCTCCTGAGTAGCTGAGACTACAGGCGCCTGCCACCATGCCCGGCTCATTTTTTGTATTTTTAGTAGAGACAGGGTTTCACCATGTTGGTCACGCCAGTCTTAAACTCCTGACCTCAGGTGATTTGCCCGCCCTGGCCTCCCAAAGTGCTGGGATTACAGGCGTGAGCCACCACACCTGGCCCCATTCACTTCTTTTAAAAAAGTTTTATTAGTGAAAATTTCAAACAGATTACACTCATTTTTGCTTAAATTTTGATCCTGTGTCAAGAACTCTTGGCCTAGGATGACTTACATTTGTAAGTTTGTATTAAATATTTAAAAATTGGCTGAGTGTGGTGGCTCACGCCTGTAATCCCAGCACTTTGGGAGGCCGAGGTGGGCAGATCACCTGAAGTCAGGAGTTCGAGACCAACCTGACCAACATGGAGAAACCCCGTCTCTACTAAAAATACAAAATTAGCCGGGCATGGTGGTGCATGCTGTAATTCCAGCTACTTGGGAGGCTTGAACCCGGGAGGTGGAAGTTGCGGTGTGCTGAGATCGCACCATTGCACTCCAGCCTGGGCAACAAGAGTGAAACTCCGTCTCAAAAAAAAAAAATCATTTCCCTTATTTTCCTTTGCCTGTTTTTTTTTTTTTGAGTCTATAAAATGTATTTGATGGAAAATTGTGGAAAATGTTTTAGTAACTTAGTACAAGGTTAAACAAGCAGATGGCACTGTCATGGAGTTATTTGAAGTATATTTGCTGTTGCTATTGTCCCCTTTAATACTCAAGCAGCCTTTTAGCAGCCTTTGAAATCTCATTTGTCCTCATGCAGATAATCCAGTTCTGTGTGCATATTTGCATGTCAGATCTCGAAACCTGCTTTTTTTTTTGTTATTTCAAGGTAATATAAAGTAGCATATAGGTACCACCATGCATAATCCAGAACCCCTTTGCTTTCCATGGAAGCCAACCTCTCAGGGCTCCTGCCCCCTCACTGAGGATGCAGGCCTGGGAAAGGGGATCAGAAACGGGTTTGTAGGGAAGGATGAGCTCTGCCTGTCCTGTTGCCCAGGGAGCACTCCTAATAATGCCAAGGAGCTCAATTCCAAGCAGGTGAGAAGCTTACGGAATGAAACAAGAGAGGCTGATTCTCATTAAATATTTTCAGGTTGTGTAGGGCAGAACAATGAGATGAACAAAGCACCGATCTGTCCTCTACTTCCTTTTTCTGAAAGGAAGAGGTGAAGTTTCTTCATGCCATCTGGACAGTGTTGGGGTTACATAATTAGACTCCTCCCGACTGAGTCTCCTTAGGTAAATCACAGAATTCTCTGACTCATCTAGAAGTGATGATAATGACGGTTACTTGATAGAGTTGTTCATAAGGATCTAATGAATGCGGAATAAATGCATATCTCTGGAAACTAAAGTACTAAGCAAAAGTCAGTAGTATAGTAATACAAATCGTGCTTAGGAACAATTGTGAAGTAGGAAGTTTGTCTTTATCACTTTCTACCTCTTTTTTTCTGTGCTTCTTACTGTCTCCCCCTCACCGCTGCTGTCCAATATGTTAGTCACTAGTCATTTGTGGCTATTTCCATTAATTAATTGTATTTAATTAAGATTAAATACAATTAAAAATTCAGTTCCTTGGTTGCATTAAGCCACATTTCAAGTGCTCAGGAGGCACATGTGGCTGGTGGCCACCGAACTGGACAGCACTGCCCCCTATTTTGAGAAGTGGGAGAGTTCTTGGAGGAGGTAGGCATTCTAATGCTGCGTTCTAGGTCCCAGTTTCAGCACCGGATTAAGTCCTCACCTTCCCTTAAGAGCCCAGGGCTTTAAGGTGATCTTCCCTTCCCTGCTCGTCTTTATCAGCCAATCAGATTTCTATGCCTTGGTTGAAGTGTTTCTTTTAGTGGTAAGCAAAGCACCCTGATTAAGTTCATATCAAAAACTTTGAACCTCCACTTAACTGCTCTGAGTACAAGCATTTCAAAAAAGGATGCCCCCAAAATCAGATCTCCGCTTGGTAGAATTTCTCACTGTAAAATGTGGCGGTTCCTCTGAAAGGGTGTGTGGTAAGGCGCGCCCTTACATTACATTACATTACACACACGCACACACACACACGCACACACACACACACACACACACAAATGTCTTCTAAAGGAACAGACTGACCCTGTGAAGGTGTTGGGTGTCGTGGTCTCCTGCTCCGTCCCTACTCCAAGAGTGGTGTTAACTACTTTTCTTTTTCACTCTTCATTAATTGATTAATAAATAATTGAATTGGCAAATGTTTCCCGAGCGCCTGCTGTGGCAGCAGGTCTGTATTAGGCACAGGACACATAGAAACGAAGAAATTGGCCCTTCCACAGAAGTCAGCAGCCCAGTTAGTCCTCGTTTAACACCATCAACTCTGTGTCCAGTACTGCGGCCCGAGCAGCCGGCATCTGGCCACTGCCCCTCGGTGAAGAAGGCTGCTCTGCCTTAAGCCACAAATGACCTTGGAATCTCAGAGACTATTCCAAAATGGTTCTGTCTTGAGTCACAGATCAGAGAGTCTCCACAGAGATCTCAAAGTAGCTTCTTGTGTCATCTAATGGTCTTCAGAAATTCTGTCTCTGTTTCTGTGGTCAGCTCCCAGCTGCTCATTATTCCTGATCACCCCTCATCTAGTTCTTTTGTCTCCTGGAGTATGGGCAGTGACTTGTGGAAACTCTGCTTCCTTTCGTACTCCCTAGGATGAGCTGTGGTGTGATAAAGATGACTCGGGCAGCAGGCAAACCTGGTTTGAGTCCTGGTTCTGCCACTCTTTTAATCTATGATTTGGGCATTTCCTCAACTATCTCAGTCTAGTTTTTTGTATGTGAAGTGGGGATTATAATAGTAATTATCCATAGGATAAACTGAGCTAAGGGGAGGCATGAGGCCTTGACCAAGGGGGTTTTGGAGCTGGATTGTGTTAAGGGAACTGGGGTGTAAAGAAAACTGATTCCTTCCCAAGCATCTAACTAAATTCTGATCATGTGTAGTCATTCTTCATAGTTTGTGGCATAGTTCTTTGCTCAGAACTTAAATGTGAGAGGGAATTTTGTTCCCAAGGTTATAATGTTATATTTTTTTCCCTTAGCCAGCCCTACTCTTGGTACAGCATGCTCTCTGCCAGCCCTGAGACAATCTGCTTTTATCCAAATACTGTTAGATGTAATGAGGCAGGGCAGTGACCTTGGGCTTCTGCATGAGATTTAGAAGGCCACATTTATAAATTATTTTAGCATGAATTATTTCCGGGAAAGATGTTCACTGATTACTAATATCATCTATTTTATGTTGTTTCTTATTTTCTTTTTCAGAGATTGACATTTTTCTGACCTTGTCTGAATTCTTTTTAAGAGTTCGTACCTCCTGAACTACATGCACTTTGCAACTCTGATTTTTGTACTGTGTCTGTGTGTGATGTGCTCACTGGTTTGCCTTTGATTTTGACTTCCAGCAGCATGTCCTTCTATTCTGCCTAAGGAAATAGTGAGAAGCACAGAGAGTTAGGGGGTTACTTAATAGTTTTGGAATGTGCATCTGTCCCGAAATAGGAGCTGTGACCAAGAATATGGTTGTCGTATTTTTAATCCATATTCGAATCATTTTTCCCTTCCTTTTTATCTAGCCGTACATGTTGAATAGAAGACTTATAGAATGAGAGAGAAAAGTAGATAACTCATGAATCTCTAATCATCTGGGATAAAGCCTTTGTTTGAAATTATAGAAGGGGCGGGGAAACGTTGGTCCCACACACTGAATTAGGAACATCTGTACCCATGAGAACTTGAGCAAGAGAACTGGAATATTGCCATTTTCATTCTGCCTCCTACGTGCTCTCAATTGTTCATGCAGTGGAGGGGCAGCAATAGCATGGATACTTGAGATCTTTAAAATACCCCTCCAAGTAATGTTTTAAAAGACTGAATCAGATTCCATTAATCGAAAATTTTCATGCCAGTAAAGTTGGAAGAGATGGGAATGTTTCCTGAGAAGTCTATCCATGGGATAAAACCAATGATCTACTTGAAAAGAAATACGACAAGTACTAAAGTGACAACATATACTTTGCCTTAAAATATTATGGCAGAAGCTTTAGGGCAGTACAGAGGCTGCATAGTGTGATGGGCAAAAGGGTCATACTCTGAATCCAAATGTGGCCTCTGCCACTTTCTAGCTGTGTGACCTTGGGCAAACCACTTAGCATGTCTTTGCCTCATTTTTCTCACCTGTAAAATGGGCATAGTTCTAATGCCAATATCAGAGTTTTGTGGAGAAGAATAAATGAGTTGTTATACATAACACCCTTAGAACAGTGGTTGGCACAAGGCAAGCACATTAGAGGTGTTTCCTCTTTTTTTTTTTTTTTGAGTCAGAGTCTTGCTCTGTCACCCAGGCTGGAGTGCAGTGGCGTGATCTTGGCTCACTGCAACCTCCCTCTCCTGGGCTCAAGCAGTTCTCTGCCTCAGCCTTCCGAGCAGCTGGAATTACAGGTGTGTGCCACCAAGCCCAGCTAATTTTTGTATTTTTAGTAGAGACGGGGTTTCACCATGTTGGCCAGGCTAGTCTCGATCTCCTGACCTCAGGTAATCCTCCCGCCTCGGCCTCCCAAAGTGCTGGGATTACAGGCATGAGCCACCATGACCAGCCAAGGTATTTCCTCTTATAATTGTTCCTATTGCTCCTGCTTCCACTGCTGTAATTCCTTCTGCCATCGCTGACACCTCTATTGCCACAACTACAGCGTAGGCTTGGGCGTCAGCCTGGCTTTGAGTTCTAGCACTGCTGCTTACCTATTTAAGTCCAAGTCCCATTTCTATATTTGTAAAGTAGGAGTGTTACTAGTACCTACTTCACAGGACCTGGTGAGGATGAAATCAGATAATACGTGTGAAGCGCCTGGTGCAGTAAATGCTTATGGTTTTGTTGTTACTGCAGCAGCTCTCAACCAGGGATCCTCCCACACCAGAGTGTTGTACTCCACTATGGGTTGGGTTACAAGTTATGTTTCTTACTAAAAGTACCAATGGTTGGGAATTATTTTTTAAAATAATTAGAGTTAAATCAAGGGTATCCCCACCCTGACAATATTGCTGTTCACTTCTATTTTGAGAAGTGGGAGAGTGCCTGGAGGAGACAGCCCTGCCCTTCTACAATTGGCCATACTCTGGCTATATCTACAGCTGTTGGGATATGCGGGTGGGGGATGCACATGTGAAAGGTGAGTGCTTTGTGTGGGGGCAGAAAACAAATTTGAGAGTTGCTGGCCTTAGGGTGCTGTCATTTCTGCTGCAGAATGTACCACTCGTGCTCTTCCATGTGGCAGCCCCCCTTTTTAGTTGATTGCCCAGACCAAAGCATCATTATCCCCCAAAGCCCAACTGTTCTTATCTTGCCTAAACATATATAGATGCCAGGAAACATTTGTTCTGACTATTAAAATCACTTTTTATTATATTAAGCAGCTACTGTAACTTGCCCTGAATTTATTCATTAATAAGTATTTATCGAGTGCCTTTATGAGTAAGATATTATCTGGTTTATGAAGAAAATGCAGACACTATCAGTTTAAGAAGCTCATAATCAAGTATGATAGACTAGGAGGATATACAATAACTATAGCACAAAGACGTTAACTCTAGTGTTCTTTTTCTTTTTTCTTTTTCTTTTATTTTTTATTTTTGAGATGGAGTCTTGCTCTGTCACCCAGGCTGGAGTGCAGTGGCATGATCTTGGCTAACCGCAACCTCTGCCTCCCAAGTTCAAGTGATTCTCCTGCTTCAGCATCCTGAGTAGCTGGGATTATAGGCATGCACCACCATGCCCAGTTAATTTTTGTATTTTTAATAGAGACGGGGTGTCACCATGTTGGCAGGCTGGTCCGAAACTCCTGACCTCAAGTGATCTGCCTGCCTTGGCCTCCCCAAAGTGCTGGGATTTCAGGTGTGAGCCACCATGCCTGGCCTCTTTTTCTTTTTTAGCTTCCATTTTTAAACCTTTACGTTCAGGAAAATACATTGCATTTGTTTATAGCTTGTTCCTTAATTCTTTGTTTTTCATTATAAAAGTAATATGTGCTCATTGTGTAAAATTTGGAAAATATGTAAACATTAAAAAGGAACAGAAAAAATGAGCCATTTTTCATCAACTAGAGATTACCATTTTAATGTTAAGTTTATTTTTCATGTATCTTTATACAGGTGATATCAGTCTTCATATTTATATTATTTTTTTCTTTTTCAACCATTATATAATAATTATTTCCCTATGTCATTAAAATACTTTATAAGTATAATTTTAATAGCTAAATAATATTTCATCATATATGACTTATAATTTACAAGCATTTCCCCAACGGACATTTTAGTTGATTCTGATTTTTTTAATGAATAATATGGTAATAAACACTTTTATGTATGAGTCATCCATATTTCTGATCATAGATTTCCACAAGTAGAATTCTGAAACCAAAGGGTAGAAATATCGCCACCGTTGTTAATAGATGTGGTTTCATTACTTTTTGGCAATGATATTTACCTTAGCAAAACTTCTGACACTGATGGATTTGGATATTTATTACCTTAAGGATAGGAGATCCTTAGCTTTTTCAGATCTGACGTTCCAAGTGTATGTTGACTGTTCAAGAATGACTCCAAAGTTCATGACATAAAGTAGTTTGCATATTTACTGAAGCACAAAATTTAATCACACGGGCCTAGAGGCTGGTGAGTGACCAAGGCTGCCTAGCAAATGTTTCATTGGGGCTTCATGGATCTCTGTGTAATACGTCTTATATATTGACTTAAAAACTTAATTTGTTTGAAAATGGACAGCTTTTGTGAAAATCAAAAGGGCCATTAATTTATGGTATACAATTATGCACAGAAAATCTACAGCCGTCAGAGAAATATGACTCAAGAAAATACTGAGAGTTGATATAGATACTTTCATATTAAAATAGAAGGTTTACAACGGTCTACTACTTTTCAATGACTACTTTCTAATTGCTTAATAGTATGTATTGACTTGTCATTTCTAGAAAATAAATCTAATTTC
Organism: Homo sapiens; assembly: GCF_000001405.40. Lineage (NCBI taxonomy): Eukaryota > Metazoa > Chordata > Mammalia > Primates > Hominidae > Homo > Homo sapiens. The sequence continues at coordinate 90,556,909 of NC_000015.10, forward strand.
ATTTTTAGTGCCAACCATTGGAATTATTCTCTTTATAATCACCACATGGCTATATATATATATATATATATATATATATATATATATATATCTTTATAATACAATATGAAAAATAAATACATTAATCAAATTATCAGACCGAGCTTCTACAGATGTTTGCCCCTTACTTGCTTTAATTTTAAAAGTTCTCTTTGGCAGGAATGTCTTATACTCTAGCTAGGGAAGAAAATGTGTAGAAAACAATTTTAATCAGTGTCTGGGAGTCTGAGAACAAACTTAGCAAATTTAGCTTAGAACAATCGCAAGTTTAGCTTAGCATCTTTCCTTAACCTTGTACTTCTAGGTAGGACCGCCTACACTGCCAGCACCCCCTCACAGTCTAGGAGCAGCTTCTCTCTCCCCCACATTTTGAGCTGTTCCCCTTGAGGTTGCTTTCTCGCCCTTTGCTGACAGGGAGGTGGTGGTAGCTGCATTTGTCTCCCATCTGGTCCCCAGAACGTTTCTTGCTTTTGTTTTACAGTCTTGTGACAAACTAGCACGCCCCCTTCCTATCTCAGGGCCTGGCTTCCCCAGCCCCCAACTAAGGTCTCAGACACGTACAAATGGTGCCCCTCTTTGAGGGGCTCGTACATCTGCACATCTGGACCTTTCACATAGTGATCTGTTAAAGGCATAGAATCAGCCTGTAATATGCTGAGATCACCCTGGTAATATGGTGGAGTACAGACAGAGCCGGGTCTGTCTGGTTTCTGGCTCTGTAGCCTTTTCCCCTGGGTCTCCTGGGGCCACTTGAACCTGACTAGCCAGCCTCTCACCCATCTCTAGGACCCAGCCTGAACTGAGGCAGAGGGACTGAGGCTGCCTCACACTCTGTAATTTGGCCTCAAGTCACCATTGCTGGCCTTGTGCCTCAGCTCTGATAACTGGACTCTTGTCTGGCTCCTGCGTGCCAGAATCCCATGGTAACCTGCCTCGTTTCCCTGTGCCTTGTTTTTATCAGCCTGCCTCCCAGGGATTGAAATCGTGCCCTGAAACACAGTGACCAATGCACTTTCCTGATGTCAACCACCCCACTTGCCTTTCTGATTGGATTCCAGAGTACCTTAAATTTCTCGTTGTTCTGCAGTGCCTGTAGTCAGGAAACCTCTGTTCTGGACACTTTTCTCTGTAAATGACAACTTAGTTCTTCCAGTTACTTGTGCCAAAACCTTGGAGTCACCCATAACTCCTTGCATTGTCTCACATCCCACAGCTAAGCCTTCAGCAAATTCTTGGTTCTGTTTTAAAAATGTATCTAGAATCTGACTACCCTGGTCGGACCCGTTATCATTTTGTCCCTGGATTCTTGCAAGAGCCTCCTGACTGGGCTTCTGGCAGAGGAGTCCTGTCTTCTTTCAGTATATTCTCAACACTGCCACCTGACTGATCCTTTTAAAATATGAGCCAGATTATCTCACTCCCCACAGTCCTCCAGCGGCTTCCCGTTTCTCTCAGGGTAAAGGCAAAGTGCAAAGTGCAGGCAGTCCCTGTAGGGCCCCCATCATCTCTGCTCTTAGCTGCTTACCACACATCTCTCCAACACCCTCCTCACTCACTCCATGCCAGCCACACTGGCCTTTTTCTCTGTTCCTTGAACCTTGCTTAGGATTTCTCTACCAGGAATGCTTTTTTTCCAGATATGTGAATGGCTTACTTCCTCACTTCCCTCAGCTCCTCACTCAAATATCACCTGTCAGGGAGGCCTTGCCTCTCTAAAATCTAAATTCCCTCCACCGTCTTTCCTGCTTGATTTTTCTCCTCAGCACTTATCACGATCCAGTATACTATATATATATATACATATACACATTTATTTTTTTTTGAGACTGAGTCTTGCTCTGTCGCCCAGGCTGGCGTGCAGTGGCGTGATCTCGGCTCACTGCAACCTCCACCTCCCGGGTTCAAGCCATTCTCCTGCCTCAGCCTCCTGAGTAGCTGGGACTACAGACGTGTGCTACCACGCCCGGCTAATTTTTGTATTTTTAGTAGAGACAGGATTTCACCATGTTGGCCAGGATGGTCTCGATCTCCTGGCCTCAAGTGATCCGCCCGCCTTGGCTTCCCAAAGTGCTGGGATTGCAGGTGTGAGCCACCGCGCCTGTCCTACTATGTATTTTTATTTATTTATCTCTTTTATATTCTGTCTCCTCCAAGCCCCCTGGGAGCAAGGGTGCTTTGGTTCACTGCTGTATTTCCAAAGTCTAGAGCAGTACCTGGCCAGGGTATGAGTTCCATAAATATTTCTTGAATGAATGAATCAAATAGTTGAGTATTAGCACTATTCTGAGAATTTTGTATGTATTATCTCATTGAATTCTTACAGTAACCTTATGTGATGGTACTTTTATGACTCCCATTTTACAGATGAGAAAACTGAGTCTTAAGAGGTTAGGCGACTTGCCCAAAAGGACCTGAGCCACCACACAAGTATTCCACTAGAGCAGCAAGTTAGAATAAACACAGACTTTATTATTATCCAGATTTATGTTCAAGTTGCAGCTCTGTCAATTACTGGTTGAATTAAAACCTCTCTAAACTTTAATATCCTTACTTATGAAATAATTATTCTACCTCCCAGGTTATTGGAAGAATTAGATGAGATCATGGGTGCATTATTTTCATGTATATTTTCCTGATTGCTGGAAAAGTTGAAATTTTTTCATTTTGTGGTTGTTTGTTTGTTTGTTTGTTTTTCGAGGCAAGGTCTCACTCTGTCAGTCAGGCTGGTGTGCAATAGTGTGATCTTGGCTCACTGCAACCTCTGCTTCCCGGGCTCAAGTGATCCTCCCACCTCAGCCCCCCAAGTAGCTGGCACCACCGGCGCATGCCACCACACTCGGCTAATTTTTGTTACCCGGCTCATTTTTATGTTTTTGGTAGAGATGGGGTTTTGCCTTGATGGCCACGTTGGTCTCGAACTCCTGGGTGCAAGTGATCCATCCGCCTTGGCCTCCCAAAGTGTTGGGATTACAGGCGTGAGCCACCATGTCTGGCCTTTTTCATGTATTTACCGGCCATTCTGGTTTCCTCTTCTGTGAATTTCCTGTTCATAACCTTTTCTCAGTTTTTTTTCTTATCAAATTGTAGGAGTTCTTCGAATGTTAGAGATACATGTTGTCTTATATGTTATAAATAGCTTTCCTCATACCATCATTTGTTGTTTGATGATGTTTTTTGGAACCTTCTTTTATTCATCTAGTTAGCGCTCCAGGTTTGGTGGTTGATCAAATACTTGAGAATAGGGATTTATTCATTCAGCTAGTATTTGTTGAGGGCTGGAACTCTGTGGGATGTCCATTCAGTCAGGACACCTCTAAATCCTGACTTCCAGTTTACGTCACTGATGATGGCTCTCATCCTTGGTTCTACCAGATTCTTGAAAGAGAATGTGTTTTCTCAGAGCCAAGTAGACCCAAACATTTCCCAGACTTTGGCCACATAATCAGAAATTTCAAAAGAGTTCTGGAATTTGTGGGCTTAGCTCCAAGTTACCAGGCATCCGTTGTCTTCCCTGTGGGCAGAATTCGCTTTTAGCTTACTCCACCCTCCTCAGCTACGCAGCATGATTGGGGCAGACGATGAATACTTCAGATATCCCCTGTGGGGTTAACTCCAGAGGCAGCCTCAGAAACTAGACACATAATTCATATGGTCAAAACCTGGCAGGCTCTTCTGAAATCGTGTGACTTCCTATCAGGCCACCAGCTCTGCAGATCCTCAAAGGTCTGGCTGTCAGAACAATAGGGAATGAGAGCAGCGCCCAGATGCTGCCTGCTGGAGCTGCAGGTCCTGTTTGAGTCTGAACAATAAAAGTCCTGGAATGAATTACCAAGGCTCCTGATTGCACCCTGCAGGTTCAGGTTTAGTTTGTGGAGATGTCTCACATAAGAACTGTCTTGTAAGCCGCTTGGGGGGTTCAACAAAATTGGTCAACAAAATTTAATACCATACAAGCCCTTTTCTTGATCAAGCAATTTAGTAAGTCTCTGTCATAAGTCTCTATGACCTGCCATCCAATATGTCAAAATAAACAAAATTTTCATGTTGATGGTCACAAGTGCAGTCCCTAGAGTGGGGATCTGGTGACCACTTCCACCACTAACTAGCACTGGATCGTAGACAAGATCGTTAGTCTCTCTGTGTCTCAGCTCACTCATCTGCAAGATGTGGCTACTAATAGTACCTAAGATAGAGCTATTGGGAGGATTAAGTTAGGTAATGCATGTAAATCCTTAGAATAATGCCCAGCACAGTTGTTGTTCAATACATATTGCAAAGTTCCTAGTATAAACTCCCTGTTGCAGCCTTCTAATTTGACTTCAATAGATTGTTGGTACCATTTGCCTCTTTCTTTGCAGGTATCCTACCTAGGCCTAGAGAACTAAGCTTTTGCTGTTCATTATATGAAGCTTCTTAAATGTCATACAGGCTAGTTGCATCCTACTAATTCTTCACAGACTAGATAAAAATACTTTTGCTGAAGTCTTAATCGGCCTGTCCTGAAGTCAACCAGGCTGTATGTTAGTGCCTTGACTCAGTGCAGCTTTCAAGAGAGGCAGAAAGAATACCCACAGAGAAGGCACATGTGGGCGGTGGCAGTGTAGGACCAGGAAAGAAGCTAGGTCTCTATATTCCCTCGCATTTTGAATCTGTGTTAAATTCAATCATATTAGTATGAAGCAATCCTCTTACCTATCTCCTTAATCCAGCCTCTGACTGCCAGCTCACAAAAGAGGGAGAAGAGGCACTACATTTAAAGTAGTGATTATCTCTAACTAGAATTTTAAGTCCCTACATGTTTTGGCTGTAGAACCAGCCAAAGTTTTGTTCCAATTCCCTACAAAATTTCACAATAGTCAGGAGTTAGAATTGGTCCCTATGTTATGAAACAGCTAGTTTTTATACTTTAAACTTAAAATGAAGCTTTAGTTGTTTATTATTACTGTGGATATTTTCCAAGAGACAGAATAACATCTGTGGAAGATTCTACACAGGCCTTGATGCCAGACATTGTAATTATTTCCCTGCTCAAAGGCAATAGTCAGTGCCTCAAGGAACTCCCTGGCTATAAGCAGTTGGCTGCCTCGACAACAGATAGCTAATGTCTTAGCTCTTTTCTGTCTCTACCGCCAGCCTCTTGGGGATGTGACTTGAGAAAGCTCTCCCCTCCCCATTTTCTCCTGTAACCTCTTTGGAGGAAGTCACCAGGGTAACCACTTTCTTTTATGCTAGTTTTCTTGAGTGCAAGGGAAAACACTTCCCCACAGACATATGACAGAAGTTTAAGAGTGGTGAGGAGAAGAACACGAACAGTTACTGAGTACCTGAGCTATGCTTTGTGTACCTGATATCATTGAGTTCCCACATCAACCTTCTGAGATAGGCATTATCATCCCCATTTTACTGATGCTTAAACAGTAACATGCCCAAGGTCACACAAGTGGCAAGTGACAGTCAGGACTCAAACCCAGGTTTATCTTTCTCGGGCCTTTGCTCTTATTTTGCAAATTAAGCAAGTGTAGACACACAAAACCAATTTGTTTTTACCTAGGAAACGTGTTTTATGCTTTGTTTTTCTCAGTCTGGATAGATGCCGTTTTCTAGTCCCCTGGAACCATCGTATGCCCAGTTTAGTACCACTTTTGTTTGGTTTCTCGTCTTAGAATATATTCTGCTTATTCACTCCCCCGGCCACCTGAGAAATCTTTTTACTACTTTTAGTCCAAATCAAACTTTCCTTCCCTTGACTACCTAGGAAGTCTCTCCTTGGGTGAGTCTTAACTCGCCTGAACTGAGAGTCTCACCCTGGAACTTGGTTAAGAAAGGCCAGAGTTGGGAGGCAACAGCCTGGATGGAAGAGGGGGGTCAGTTGACACTGGAGGGGGCAAGCCAGACCAGCCGCAAGCAGGAGCCAAAAGGTCAGAAAGCCAGTGAGAATGGGGTGGGCCAACAGGAGCAGACCAGGCCACACAGGCTGTGACTCCCCCTTGCAGTGGCTGCTGGGCACTGGCCATGCCTGTGCTTGTCTCTCTCAGTATCTCTTACTCTGCCATCTTGTCATTCATGAAATTGCTCAAGAGACGCTTTCTACCAGTCCGTGCCTGCTTAGTCTCCGAGAAGTTTTGGGGGTTCATTTAGAATTAATTAATTTAGAACTAGCATTTAAAAGTTAAACGGGCTGGGCATGATGGCTCATGCTTGTGATCCCAGCACTTTGGGGGACTGAGGCGGGTGGATCACTTGAGGTCAGAAGTTTGAGACCAGCCTGGCAAACATTGAGAAACCCTGTCTCTACTAAAAATACAAAAATTAGCCAGATGGAGTGGTCAATGCCGGTAATCCCAGCTACTCGGGAGGCTGAGGCAGGAGAGTCACTTGAACCGAGGAGGCGGAAGTTGCAGTGAGTAGAGATCACTCCACTGCACTCTAGCCTGGGCAACAGAGTGAGACTCTGTATCAAAAAATAAATAAATAAATAAAATAAAAATAAAAGTTTTAAAACAGCTTATAAACTTGAGTTAAAATATAACTCAAGTGAAGCAGAGAGAAGAATATTAAAGGGGAAACATTTAATGAGGAGCAAAGCATAGCCTTGACCGAGCTTCTGCTAAGAGCGGATGGCTCTCACTTGGCACAGACATCTTTCTGTATTGCACTACTTGCCCTGGCAGAGGCATCAGAACTGTTAGAACCACAATGGACTGTGCAGCACTTTTCATGCAACACTCCCCCTTTAAGGTTAGCCAACCGAGAGCAAGAAAAAATAGGTAATAAGCTCAACATTACTCAGCTAGTAAGTGGCTGGTACAGGAATCAAGTTCTGCTTACTTAGTCTGAAGGTTTTCAGCCACTTCATACCATTTGATCAACATATTTGCCCTTTGTTTTTGAATGAAATAGAAAAAATAATTTCCTTCTTTCCTTCTTTCTTCCCGCCTTCCTTCCTTTTTTTCAAACAAAATTACTGCCATTTATATTAGTGTTTCTACCACTTCTATCATGACCACTGCTGGCAAAAATGTACTGAACTTTTGCTGTGCATCAGGCAATATGGCTAACTAAGGCTTTGCATACATCATTTACTCTTTCTAGTAACCCCAGAGTAGGTACTATTACTGTCTCTATTTACAGGGAAGACTGTGGAGGCCAAGAAGGATTAAACAATTTCCCTGCATCACACAGCCAAAAATGGTAAAGCCAGATTTGAAGTCCAGGCTCTTTGATTCTGGAGTTCATGCTAGTAACTACCAGCTCTCCGTCTGGCAGTGTTTTGTTCTTTTGTTGAATTACTAAAACAGAACTATTTTCTCTGAATGCAGAAGTTGAAACCTGTTGAGGAAATTCAACCAGAGTATTTCTTGAAGAAAAAAGAAACCATTTCCTGATTTCTTTATTTGTTAACCCTATGACATCATTAGGGTTGGTAGTAGCTGCTCCTTTGCCTTCACACACAAGAAAAAAGTGTGCAAATAGTTCTTAGGAACTACTGAAGCTGTTCAGAGGACCAGAAGCTAGACCCTCCTCTATTATTTTCTCTGCCCTACGTCTGGCCTTTTTAGCTTGTGGAACTTATCATCCCCGCCATCCAGTAAAGGCTACAAAGGCCCCGAGACTAGTCCCTGCAGTTACTACTGATGTTCTTTTCTTGCTTCTCATCTGCTTTTACTACCAGTTCTGTCTTGCCCATGGTCAAACCATTATCTCTAAAACTCCACCTTCTAAGCTACCTCTGACCCTTCGAATTTGCCATGGTTAGAAAAATCAGGAAAATAGGAAACCTAACCAGCAAAGAAACATCTGGGAGTGTATTTGTTGTCACTGTAAGCAATGACACATAGATTAAAACAATAAGATACCATAGGCAGGAATGGATAGAGTATGGACTCAAGAGTAAGGCAGCTTGGGTTCAAAGCCTGTCTCTACCCATTACAAGCCTTGTGTTCAACAATTTAACCAACCTTCCTTCCTTCCTTCCTTCCTTCCTTCCTTCCTTCCTTCCTTCCTTCCTTCCTTTCATGGAGTTTCGCTCTTTTTGCCCAGGCTGGAGTGCAATGATGCGATCTTGGCTCACCGCAACCTCTGCCTCCCGGGTTCAAGCGATTCTCCTGCCACAGCCTCCCGAGTAGGTGGGATTACAGACATGCGTGACCACGCTGGCTAATTTTGTATTTTTAGTTTTTAGTAGAGACGGGGTTTCTCCATGTTGGTCAGGCTGGTCTTGAACTCCCGACCTCATGTGATCCACCCACCTCAGCCTCCCAAAGTACTGGGATTACAGGTGTGAGCCACCGTGCCTGGCCAATGTAAGCTTTCTAAGTCTCGGTTTCTTAATCTGTAAGGTGGGGATAATAATAGTAGCACTTCACAGTGTCGTGAGGATTAAACGAGATAATGTATACGAAGCATCTAACACTGTACCTAGAGCATATAAATGCCAATAAAGGCTAATTATCAAAGTCATAACTTAGCCTTTTTACCCATTAAATTAGGACAAATTTTTGAGTGATATTCAGTGTTGGTGAGTGGGTAATGCAATGTGCTCTTGTATACAGGCACACCTTGTTTTATTGTGGTTTGCTTTTTCTGCTTTACAGATACTGTGCTTTTTACAAGTTGAAGGTTTGTGGCAAACCTGCATGGAGCAAGTCTATTGGTGCCATTTTTCAATGGCATGTGGCTCACTTCATGTCTCTGTTGCATTTCAGTAAATCTTGCAACATTTCAAACTTTTTCATTATTATATCTGTTATGGTGATCTGTAATCGGTGATCTTTGGTATTACTGTTGTAATTGTTTTGGGGTCCCGTGAACATCACCCACATAAGTTGGTGAACTTAATCAAGAGAAATGTTGTGTGTCTTCTGACTGCTCCATTGATCAGCCATTCCTGTGTCTCTCCCCCTCCTTGGGCCTCCCTCTTCCCTGAGATAACAATATTGAAATTAGGCCTCTAAGTGTTCAAGTGAAAGAAAGAGTTGCATGTCTTTCACTTTAAATAAAAAGCTGCAAATGATTGAGGTTAGTGAGGAAAGCATGTTGAAAGCCAAGGTAGGACAAATTCTTGAAGGAAATTAAGTGCTATTCTGATGAACACACAAATGATAAGAAAGTGAAACAGCCTTATTTGCTCATAAGGAGAAAGTTTAAGTGGTCTGGATAGATCAAACTAGCCACCACATTCCCTTAAGCCAAAGGCTAATCTAGAGCAAAGCCTAACTCTCTTCTGTTCTATGAAGACTGAGAGAGCTGAGGAAGCTACAAAAGAAAAGTTTGAAGCTAGCAGAGGTTGGTTCATGAGGTTTAAGGAAAGAAGCCATCTCACCCAGGCGCAGTTTCTCATGCCTGTAATCCCAGCATTTTGGGAGGCTGAGGTGGGTGGATCGCTTGAGGTCAGGAGTTTGAGACCATCCTGGCCAATATTGTGAAACCCCGTCTCTACTAAAAATACAAAAATTAGCCGGGCATGGTGGCGTGTGCCTGTAGTCGTAGCTACTTGGAAGGCTGAGGCAGGAGAATTGCTTGAACCCAGGAGGCGGAGGTTGCAGTGAGCCGAGATCATGCCACTGCGCTCCAGCCTGGGTGACAGACCAAGACTCTGTCTATTAAAAAAAAAAAAGAGGAAGAAGAAGCCAACTCCATAACATAAAAGTACAGGATGAAGCAAGAATTGCTGCTATAGAAGCTGCAGCAAGTTATCCAGAAGATCTGGCTGAGGTCATTGCTGAATGTGGCTGCACTCAGCCACAGATTTTCTTTCCTCCTTTCTTTTTTTTTTTTTTTTGAGACAGAGTCTTGCTCTGTCGCCCAGGCTGGAGTGCAATGACACAATCTCAGCTCACTGCAACATCCACCTCCCAAGTTCAAGCAATTCTCTTGCTTCAGCCTCCCGAGTAGCTGGGATTATAGGTGCCCGCCACCACACCTGGCTAATTTTTGTATTTTTAGCAGAGACAGGGTTTCACTATGTTGGTCAGGCTGGTCTCGAACTCCTGACCTCAGGTAACTCACCCTTCTTGGCCTCCTGAAGTGCTGGGATTGCAGGTGTGAGCCACCGTGCCCAGCCTGCATTTTCAACATAGATGAAACAGTCTCTTTTGGAAGCAGATGCCATCTAGGACTTTAATTCCTGGCTTCAAAGCTCCAAAGGACACTTCGATTCTGTTGTTAGAGACTAATGCAGCTGGTGACTTGAAGTGGTTTCAAAATCAACGCTTATTACCATTCCTAAAATCCTAGGGCCCTTAAGAATTATGTTAAATATACCCTGCCTGTGCAGTATGAGTGGAATAACAAAGCCAGGATGACGGTACATGTGTTTGCAGCATGGTTTACTGTACATTTTAAGCCCACTGTTGAGACCTACTGCTCAGAAAAAAAAGATTCCTTTCAAAATATTGCTGCTCAATTCAGTGCTTTTTCTTGGTTGATAAAAAACAAACAACTAAAATATTACTCCTGGCTGGGCTTGGTGGCTCACATCTATAATCCCAGCACTTTGGGAGGCCGAGGCAGGTGGATCACCTGAGGTCAGCAGTTCAAGAACAGCCTGGCCAACATGGTGAAACCCTGTCTCCACTAAAAATAGAAAAAATTAGCCGGGCATGGTGGCGCATGCCTGTAATCCCAGCTACTCGGGAAGCTGAGGCAGGAGAATTGCTTGAACCCGGGAGGCAGAGGTTGCAGTGAGCCAAAATTGTGCCATTGTACTCCAGCCAGGGCAACAAGAGTGAAACTCCGTCTCAAAAAATAAATAAATAAATAAATAAATAAAATATCACTCCTCGTTGACAGTGCACCTAATCATCCAGGAGCTCTGATGGAAATGTAGAAGATTAGTGTTTTTATGCCTTCTAACACAACATCTGTTCTGCAGCCCATGGATCAAGAAGTAATTTCAACTTTCAAGTCTTATTATTTAAGAAATACATTTCATAAGGCTATATATAGCTGTCATAGATAGTGATTCCGCTGATGGATCATGGCACAAAGCATACTGAAAACCTTCTGGAAAGGGTTCACTCTTTTAGATGCCATTAAGAACATTCATGGTTCATAGGAAGAGGTCACAACCTTATCAACATGAGCAAGAGTTTAGATGAAGTTGCTTCTAACCCTATTGGATGACTTTGAGGGGTTCAAGACTTCAGTGGAAGAAGTAACTGCAGATGTGATTGAAATAGCCAGAGATCTAGAATTAGAAGTGGAGCCTGAAGATGTGACTGAATTGCTGCAATCTCATAAAACTTGAATGGATGAGGAATTGCTTCTTGTGGATGAGCAAAGAAAGTGGTTTCTAGAGATGGAATCTACTCCTGGTGAAGATGTTGTGACCATTGTTAAAATGACAAAGGATTTTAAAATACCACATAAGTTTATTAAATCAGAAGTAGAGTTCGAGAGGATTGACTCCAATTTTTTTTTTTTAAATAGTCTCGCTCTGTCACCCATGCTGGAGTGCAGTGGTGCAATCTCAGCCTACTGCAACCTCTGCCTCATGGGTTCAAGCGATTCTCCTGCCTCAGCCTCCCGAGTAGCTAGGATTACAGGCACATGCTACCATGCCTGGCTAATTTTTGTATTTTTAGTAGAGATGGGGTTTCATCATATTGGCCAGGCTGGTCTTGAACTCCTGGCCTTAAGTGTTCCACCTGCCTTGGCCTCTTAAAGTGCTGGGATTACAGACCTATTGACTCCAATTTTGAAACAAGTTCTATTGTGGGTAAAAGTGTTACCCAGCAGCATCACATGGTACAGAGAAATCTTTTGTGAAAGGAAGTTGATACAGCCAACTTCGTTGTTGTCATATTTTAAGAAATTTCCACAGCCACCCCAACGTTCAGCAACCACCACTGATCAATCAGTGGCCTTCAACATCGAGGCAAGACCCTCTACTAGGAAAAAGATTACAACTCACTGAAGGCTCAAATGATCCTTAGCATTTTTTAGCAATAAAGTATTTTTAAATTAAAGTGTATATATTTTTCATGCATAATGCTATTGCACACTTAATAGACTACAGTATGGTGTAAACAAGTATAACGAAACTTTTTTTTTTTTTTTAAAGAGACAGAGTTTCTCCCGGTCACCCAGGCGAGAGTGCAGTGGTGCAATCATAGCTCACTGTAGCCTTGAACTCCTGGGCTCAAGCAGTCTTCCCATTCCAGCCTCCTGAGTAGCTGGAACTACAGGCATATGCCACCATGCCCAGCTAATAATTTTCATTTGAAAAATTTTTTTGTAGAGATAGAGTTTTTCTTTTTGGCCCAGGCTGGTCTCAAACTCCTGGCTTTAAGCCGTCTTCCTGCCTTGGCCTCCCAAAGTGCTAGGATTATAGGCATGAGCCACCATACATGGCCTGTAAACAAAACCTTTTTTTTTTTTTTTTTCTTGAGATGGAATTTTGCTCTTGTTGCCCAGGCCGAAGTGCAGTGGTGTGATCTTGACTCCCTGCAGCCTCTGCCTCCCTGGTTCAAACGATTCTCCTGCCACAGCCTCCCAAGTAGCTGAGATCACAGGCATGCGCCACCACACCTGGCTAATTTTGTATTTTTAGTAGAGATGGGGTTTCACCATGTTGGCCAGGCTGGTCTCAAACTCCTGAGACATATACCTGTTGTAAATTGGTATACGTCTTTTTTGCTTTTTGTTTTAGAAACAGGATCTTGCTCTGTCACCCAGGCTGGAGTGCATAGGTGTGATCATAGCTCACTGCAACCTCAAATTTCAAGATTCAAGCAATCCTCCCATCTTAGCTTCTGAAGTAGCTGGGATTGTAGGTTCACCCCGCCATGCCTGGCTAATTTTTTATTTTTTGTAGAGACAGAGTCTCACTATATTGCCTAGGCTGACATCTTTTCAAAAACAGTTTTGGAATATATATAAAGGATGTTAAGATAGTAATATTATTTGACAGATTCTACTTTGGGGACACTATCCTAAGAAAGTAATTTAATATCTGAAAAGAAAACCTGTAGCCTGATAATGTTGTAATATTATTTATTATAGTGAGTAATTGATTTCAGTAAAATATGATCTATCAGCTCAGTGCAGTTTGAAATTATGAATGTAAAGACTTCAGCTACATGAAAAAATATATTACTATGTTGAACAAAATACTTAAAAAGGAATACAATTATATGGACTGATGGTTATAGGAGTATATGAAGTTTTCACACAGTTGCTAGGACATAACTTGTTTGTCTTTAGTGTCTTTTTGACATTGCCAAAAGCTTCTGACACTACTTTTTTAAAAATGTGGCTTAAAAAATTGTCAAGTAATGAGCAAAACAGAGACTCTACTTCTGTGCCTTAGTCTCATTGCCAGTTGCCAGCCTCTGATTTCAGGTGGGTGTGAGGGATGGAGGGACAATGAGGGATGAGGCAGGGCTCGGAGATGGTCTAAGAAGTCACTTGTATCTCATGTGGGTTTCTTCTCTCAAATTCTTGAGTTTCTCTTTATAGACCCTCATTAGAAAAGTCGGTTATGTGGGCATCAGTATGAGCCCTTACTCTTGACTCCACCACTGTTAGGGACATCCTCAGTGAAATCCCTGACAATTTCTTCAGTAATACATATGTTATATAACACTCCTTTATAATGATTTTTTTGGGGAAAGAATAGTAATTCTTTAGATGCTAACCCAGCCGGCTGTAAACAAATCATGGTTCTTTAAAAACCATGGCTCACACCTGTAATCCCAGCACTTTGGGAGGCTGAGGCAGGTGAATTACCTGAGGTCCGGATAACAGTAATGCATCCTCATAAGAGTTCAAGCCAGTAATTAATGAAATACAAAGCCAAAGTCCCCAGAAATGAGAGATGGTTTGTGATGAGAGAGGATCTGGGGTGTCTGTGGTCTGTTACACACATTACTTGATGATAAAAACAGTGATCTTTACTTTGGCTTACAAAAGGCTCGTGCTTCAGCAGAGTGCAGCAAAATGTTCCCTGACCAAAACGACTGTGTCTGAAGGGCACAGCTTGGGGGAATACAGCTATGAAAAAAACTACACGAGGAACAAAAACATTGGATGAAAATAGTGGTTGTATTTGGAAGGTAGAATTATAATCCTCCCCTTTTCTACGTTCCTAAATTGTCCATAATGTGGTTATATTTTTTTAATAATAAAAGTCCAATTTAACAAATATTTATTGGACACTGCGTGTCAGACACAATGCTTGATGCTGGAGATACAATGACCCAGACAGGCACAGTCACTGCTTGGCGGAACTTCAGTCCAGTGGGAGAGGCAGATGATTTTACAAGTCATTGTGACACCATGTGACAAACCCACAATAGAGGAGTTCAGAGAGTGGCTGGATTGTGTCCGAGTGGTGCCTAACCCAAACGGGTTGGGAGGAGGTCCCAGGAAAGGCTTCCTGGAGGAAGAGGTGACTAAGCTGGGACCTGAGGGCTATATAACTGAAGATTGGAGTGAGGAGTGTTCTAAGCAAAAGAAGCTGCATTTGGCAAAGCTTGGAGGAACTGAAAGTTTGGTGACACTGGAGCATAGATTGAGCATGAGAAGGGAGTGGTGAGAGATGAGGCTGGAGCTTGAAGTAGGAACCAGATCACAAAGGACTTTGCTTTCTTATTAAGGAATTTGGATTTTGTCCTAAGGCGGTGTAAAGCTATTGGAAGGATATTCATTTGCTTGCCTGCTTGCTCACTTATTTATTCTTCCAAATTTGTTGTAGAAACTCAAATAATATGGAAGCATGAAACATGAAAAGTAAAAGTCTCCCCTTCTCTACTTCACACCCTCCCCCCAGTTCTAATCCCCATGGTACCTATTGCTAAGTGTTTCATCTGCACCCTTTCTGCAGTTTTCTGGGAAGTATATGCAAGCGTGTGTGTGTATATACATATTTTCTTTCTACACAAATGGAATCATGCTATACTGAATAACTCCCATCTTAAAAGCAAAACTTGACTGGGTGCAGTGGCTCACACCTGTAATCCCAGCACTTTGGGAGGCCGAGGCAGGTGGATTACCTGAGGTCAGGAGTTCAAGACCAGCCTGGCCAACATGGTGAAATCCCATCTCTACTGAAAATACAAAAATTAGCTGGGCATGGTGGTGTGTGCCTGTAATCCCAGCTACTTGGGAGGCTGAGGCAGGAGAATTGCCTGAGCCCAAGAGGCGGAGGTTGCAGTGAGCCAAGATTGCGCCATCGTACTCCAGCGTGGCTGACAGAGCGAGATTCTTTCTCAAAAAAAAAAAAAAAAAAAAGGCAGAACTTGATACACCTTAGGTATCTTTCTATGTCAGTACCTAAAGATATATATTCTTTCTAATGACAGCAGCACAGCCATTTATGTAGCTATCCCATCATTTATATAACCAGTCTCTTATTGAGAGACAATTAGATTATGTCTAGTTTTTCACTATTACAGAGGAAAACTGCAGGGAACATTCTTGTTATGATATCGTGTTGGATATTTACATAAGGGTATTTGTGAGATATGTTCCTAGAAGTAAAATAGCTGGGTAAGAAGGGTTGTACATTTAAAATTAAGGTAGATATTACCGTATTATTCCCTGTTAAGGTGATATCAATTTCTACTCTCACCAACATATGAGTGTCTGTTCTTTCATATACTCTTCCCCACTGGATATATCCTTTTTTTGATTTCTATTTTTTGAGATGGAGTCTCACTCTGTCACCCAGGCTGGAGTGCAGTAGTGCAATCTTGGCTTACTGTAACTTCCACCTCCCGGGTTCAAGCAGTTCTCCTGCCTCAGCCTCCTGAGTAGCTGGGATTACAGCTGTGCGTCACCATACCCAGCTAATTTTTGTATTTTTAGTAGAGACGGGGTTTCACCATGTTGGCCAGGCTGGTCTTAAACTCCTGACCTCAGGTGATCTGCCCACCTTGGCCTCCCAAAGTGCTGGGATTACAGGCGTGAGCCACCATGCCCCGCCAATATATCCATTTTTTAAAAAAACTGTGGTTAAAAAACACATAACTTAAAACTTAACATCTTGATTTATTTTTAAGTTTACAGTTCATTAGTGTTAAGTATATTCACATTGTTGTGTAAAACAGATCTCCAGAACTTTTTCATCTTGCAAAGCAGAAACTCTGTACCTATTAACAACTCCCCATGCCACCTCCCACTAGCTCCTGAATCACCATTCTACTTTCTGTTTCTATGAATTTAACTATTCTAGGTGTCTCGTACAAGTTAAATTACACACTATTTGTCTTTTTGTACCAGCTTATTTCACTTAGCATAATGGGTAGAAACAAGTCACAGGTGTTGCCTCTACTCAAGGGCGGGGATTCCACAAAGGCGTGAACACCAGGAGGTGGACATCATTGTGGGATACCTTGGAGTCTGTCTACCGTAATCTTCCTTGTATATTCCAAATATTTTCTCCATCTAGTAGTTTTTGTTTGGGAGTTTTATGCTCTAATTTGTATGAGTTAAATGTGTTGGTCTTTCTGTGACTGCTGTGTTACAATTTCTAGTATGTTTAGAGTGGCCTTAATCATGCCAAGATTTCTTAAACATTCACCCGTTTTTCATCCATATTGTATTCTAATGCTATTATTACTTTGGAATTTATTTTGATGTGAGATTTGAGAGAGGGTTCCCATTTTTTTTTTCCTCTGTAGCTAATCTATTGTCTCAATTCTTGAATAATTTCTTTTTTACATAGCTTGTTCTGTTTTTTACTGTTTTTTTTCCCATTGATATGGCTACCTATTCCTCTGTCCATTTCCACATCAGTATATTATTGTAACTTTGTAATATGTTCTTTGATTTTACTTTTAGTTATGTTTTTAGGCAGATACATATGAACATACATTCATGTGGTCTAAGATTAAAGATAAGCAAAAAGTGCAGTGAACAGTATCCTCTCCATCTCTGTCCTAGCCACCCAGTTCACTCCCCACAGGTGCAACCACTGTTGTCACGTTTATTTATTCCTTCAGGAATATTTTATGTATGTATCAGCAAATGTGAATATATAGTCCACCTCATGCCACACTTTTCTCTGAAGATAGTTGACCATACACATGTCTGTACCTTGCTTGAATGAAGTTAAGTGAATAAAGTTAAGTGAATAATACATCTTGGAGATCTTCCCATGTCAGTTCACAAAGTACACCTTTATCTGTTTTAAAAATTAGTACACAGTATTCTTTTATATGACTTTGTCATAATTTATTCAGCTAGTTCCCTATTAATGAACATTTAAGTAATTTACAGATTTTAAAAAAATATATAAACTTATTGGCCGGGCGTGGTGGCTCACACCTGTAATCCCAGCACTTTGGGAGGCCGAGGTTGGTAGATCACGAGGTCAAGAGATCGAGAGCATCCTGGTCAACATGGTGAAACCCTGTCTCTACTAAAAATACAAAAAATTAGCTGGGTGTGGTGGTGCGCACCTGTAGTCCCAGCTACTCAGGAGGCTGAGGCAGGAGGATAGCTTGAACCTGAGAGGCGGAGGTTGCAGTGAGCCGAGATCGCGCCACTGTACTCTAGCCTGGTGACAGAGCGAGACTCTGTCTCAAAACAAAACAAAACAAAAAAACTATGCTTCAATGAACAACATTATGCACATACAGTTTCATACATATACAGGTATAGCTGCAAGAAAAATGACTAGAAGTGAAGTTGCTGGGGCACAAGCATATGCATGTGTAGTTTTAGTAGATATTGTCAGTTCACCCTCCCTAGAAGTTGTACATTCCTCTCTGCTGTATATGAAAGTGCCTGTTTGCCCACATCCTCCCCAACTCAGTGTTTTGTCAAACTGTTTGATCTCTGTTAGTCTACATAGTAGAAAAATTATGTTTCTGTTTAGTTTTAATTTGTGCATTTTTCTTATGAGTAACGTGTGTTTTTTCCTGTTTATGAACCATTTGTATTATGTTTACCGTGAACAATCTGTTCATATCTTTTGCCTTTAATTCTTTTGTGTGGTTGATCTTTTTCTTACTGATTTTTAGGAGTTTTTATATATTAGAAAAACTAGCCATTTATCTGTGATATGAGATGTAAATATTTTCCACATTTGCCACTTGTCATTTGACTTTCTTTATACTGAAATTTTTTTTCTAACAGACATTACAATTTTTTCATGTATCAAAAGTTAATGTTGGCTGGATGCAGTGGCTCACTCCTGTAATCCCAGCACTTTGGGAGGCTGAGGTGGGTGGATCACCTGAGGTCAGCAGTTCGAGACCAGCCTGGCCAACTGAGTGAAACCCCCGTCTCTGCTAAAAATATAAAAATTAGATGGGCGTTGTGGCAGGTGCCTGCAATTCCAGCTACTCAAGAGGCTGAGGCGGGAAAATCGCTTGAACCCGGGAGGCGGAGGTTGCAGTGAGCCAAGATTGTGCCATTGCACTCTAGACTGGGCTAGAAGGATGAAACTCCGTCTCAAAAAAAAGAAAAGTTAATGCCTTTTTGGTTGCTCCCAGGTTTTTTGTTATAGTTAGAAAGTTATCTTCTTTTGTTTTTGCTAACACTTTATACCTTTATTTTCAAATATAAAATCTTTGATCCATCATGTGCTTATGCCAGTGTAAGGTATGCAGTGTGAATCTGGCTTATTTTTTTTCCACTTTGCTAGCTAGTTGTCTCAACACTATTTATGAATAATCATCTTTTCTCCGATAGTTTAAATGCTACTTCCATCATAAACTAAATTCTCATAGTTTGATTGGATTTTGAGACTTCCTATTCTCTTTTATTAATCTGCGTGTCTATTCATACACCAGAATCACACTATTTTAATTAATGATTATAGCTTCATATTATATTTTAGAAACCTGGTAAGATTAATTCACTTTCATGCTGCTTTTCGGTGATTTTTCTAGGCTATTCTTGCATGTTTATTTTTCCAGATGAACTTTATTTATTTATTTATTCTCTTTACACCAGTGTTACTGCCAACCAAATGAACTTTAAAATCGGCTTGTTGAGGTCTTTTTAAAAAATGCTTTTATTATTGGGTTTTATGCAGCTAAGGATATGATCAGATTTGTGTTTTAGGAAGATTATTCTGACTGCAGGGTAGAACTAGGTTGGAGGAAACAAGATTAGAGACAAAAAGACCAATGACAAGATTGTTGCAGTAATCCAGGGGAGAATGGATAGATGAGGAGTTGAGGATAGTATTGGGTTCAAGAGGTGTTTAGAAAGTCAAAATGGCCAGGTGCACTGGCCTGCATCTGTAGTCCCAGCTACTCAGGAGGCTGAGGTGGGAGGACCACTTGAGCCCAGGAAATTGAGGCCAGCCTAGGCAACACAATGAGACTCCATCTCTAAAATATAAATAAATAATACAATACAATAAATAAAAATAAATAGATGGTCAAAATGACCAGACTTGGTGATGACTGAGATGTGCAGGGATGAGGAGGAAGCACTCAAGGATGACCCCAAACTTTCTGGGTTAGGCCGTCGAGTGGCGCCATTCCCAGCGATTTGAAACACACGAGATAGGGGCTGGTTTAGGAGGAAGATGGCAAATTCACTTCTAAATATATTGAGTTTGAGGTGCCTGCAGGTAGTCCTAGAAGAGTGTGGTCCAGTGGGCTGTTGAATGTATAAGTCTGAAGCTCTGGAGAGACATCTGGGCTAGAGAGATGGAGTGATATGACAGAGCCCTGAGGAACCCCAGCACTAAAGGATGGTCAGGAAGTTCAGGAGTGTGCGAAGAAGACTGGAAAGAAACACTCAGAGAGGTAGGAGAAAAATGGGACGGCATGGAGCCCCAGGAGCCAGGAGAAGAATGTTTTCAATAGAGCAAACTGTCAGTAATTTCCAGTGTTCCAAGAGGTCAGGAGCTGAAAATGCCCATTTGGATTTAGTAGCGTGCAAAGTCTGTGGTTATCTTGGGAAATTTCGGTGGAGCAGAGGGATGGGGGCTGAGGTCTGTGGGAGTTGAGGAAGTGGAGTTGAGGCAACTCCTTCATCACAAAGCTTGGCTGTGAAGAGGAGAGACACCGGGACACCGGGGCAAGGAGGAGGAATAGGATGATGCAGCAAGTTAGCGACTTTTGTGTCTCCTCCTTCCCCAGCTTTACGTGGGAGAGGCTGGGCCATTTGTTTGTTTTTTGTTTTGTTTTGTTTTGTTTTGTTTTTTTGAGATAGAATATTGCCCTCTTGCTCAGGCTGCCATGCAGTGGCTCACACTGGCTCTCCTCTTCCCAGCTGTGGCACATCCCAGCGGCAGTTAATCTTGCCACTTTCAATCTCCCCATTACCATTATAAGTGCTGGGATTACAGGCAGGAGCCACCAGGCCCAGCCTTTGGCCCACATTTAAATGCAGATGGAAAGAGCTAATAGAGGAGAGGAGGAAGCAGTCTGTGATCCTGTTCTTTGAGGACCAAGTAATACTGAGAAGGATATAAGGGGTTGGAGAAGTTGGCCAAATCAGTCTGGCAGAGAGTAAGTCAATTATAGTGTTGGTATATGTTCCCTGACAGTTTTGACTTTTAATTTTGTTGAGCTGTCTAATATTTTTGCTTGGCTATTTTGAGAAGGAGCCTCTAAGAAATTGGATTCAGGTTTAGAAATTTAGTTGAAGATTAAGTTTAAAAAGTAAGGTACAGACAGTGTATCAGTAAGTTACCATTTGTGTAAAAAGGGAGGAGATATCTGCACTCCCATGTTTATTGCAGCACTATTTACAATATGGAATCAACCTAACTGTCCATCAACAGATGAATGGATAAAGAAAACAGGTTATGTATACACAATGGAATATCATCCAGCCATAAAAAAGAGTGAAATCCTATCATTTACAGCAACACTGATGGAACTGGAGGCCATTTATGTTAAGTGAAATAAGAGAAAGACAAATATCGCATGTTCTCACTCATATGTCGGAGCTAAAAAAGTAGATACCACAATGACACACAGTTAGATTGGTGGCTACCAGAGGCCAGGAAAGGGAGAGGGGGATGAAGGAAGAAAAGGGATATTTATTTATTTATTTTTAAATTTTTGAGATGGAGTCTCGCTCTGCTGCCCAGACTGGAGTGCAGTGGCACGATCTGGGCTCACTGCAACCTCCATCTCCCGGATTCAGCAGTTCTCCTGTCTCAGCCTCCCGAGTAGCTAGTAGCTTGGATTACAGGCGTGCGCCACCAGGTCCAGCTAATTTTTTGTATTTTTAGTAGAGATGAGGTTTCACCATGCTGGTCAAGCTGGTCTGGAACTCCTGACCTCAGGTGATCCACCTGCCTCGGCCTCCCAAAGTGCTGGGATTACAGGCATGAGCCACCGCACCTGGCCAAATGTATTTATTACCACTGAACTGTACATTTAAAAATGGTAAAGATGGGCTGGGCACAGTGGCTCAGCCCTGTAATCCCAGCACTTTGGAAGGCTGAGGTGGGCAGATCATCTGAGGTTAGGAGTTCGAGACCAGCCTGGCCAACATAGCAAAACCCCGTCTCTACTAAAAATACAAAAATTAGCGAGGCGTGGTGGCATACACCTGTAATCCCAGCTACTAACTACTCGGGAGGCTGAGACAGGAGAATTGCTCGAACCCGGGAGACAGAGGGTATAGTAAGCTGAGATCGCAACATTGCACTTCAGGCTGGGCAACAGAGCGAGACTCCATCTCAAAAAAAAAAGAAGGTAAAGATGGTAAATTATAAATGCATGTATAGAGTTATATTATACACATATGTTTAATAAAGAGCAGCAGTAATATGTATTCTTATTTGCTGTACATGCATAATCAGTATTTCAAAGGACTCACAAGAAGCAAAAAATCTGGTATCGATTGTGAGGTGGGAACTGGGTCGAAGGGGAGCGAGAATTGAGGATGCCTTGTCACTCTCCACTGTTATATAGGGTATTTGTTGAGAATGCCAATATATTACTTATTTAAATAACGTGATGTAAACTGTTTAGTTATCTTTAAAAGTAATGATTACAACAGGGCCTGAATTTTCTTATTTACTAATGATTCTAAGCATCTGTAATCTGTCTGTTCTGTGTCTAAGAAGCTAAATCTTGCTGTGTGCCTGTGAGGTGTGGATCTTTGCCTGTACAGTTGGTCCTCCATTATCTCATTATCTGAGGGTTGGTTTTGCATATGTAGATTCAACCAATTACAGATCAAAAATATTAGAAAAAAAATTGCATCCTTACTAAACATGTTTTTTCTTTGTCATTATCCCCTAAACAATACAGTATGACAACTATTTACATAGTATTTGCTTTGTATTAGGTATTATAAATAATTTGGAGGTGATTTATAGTATATGGAAGGATGTTTGTAGGTTACATACAAGTACTGTGCCCTTTTATATCAGGGATTTGAGTATGCATAGATTTTGGTGTCTGTAGGGGGCCCTGGAACCAATCCCCCTGCGTACTGAGGGACAGCTGTGCTCCACTCTTCCCCACTGGGGACCGACAGCCTTGGGGAAGTGGACAGTCCTGGTTCTTGGGTCAAGGAAGAGGACCATGGCCTGGAACATCCTGGCCCTATCCACTATAGCTTGACCGAGTGGGCTCTAAGGCTGGTTTATAGGGAAGGAAAGAGGAAATGGGGTAGTAATTATTGTGTCATAGGCAAAAGCCTCACACTGGCTGTCCCCTTCCCCTGGGAAAAAATTCTTTAGCATTTCTCTGTAAATTTCATTGTGATTTTAGAGCATGTGTCTGAATGATTACATGGAGTAAACGTATTTCACTTTTTTTTTTTTTTTTTTTTTTTTTGAGACAGAGCCTTGTTCTGTTACCCAGGCTGGAGTGCAATGGCACAATCTTGGCTCACTGCAACCTCTGCCTCCTGGGTTTAAGCAATTCTCCTACATCAGCCTCCCCAGTAGCTGGGAGCACAGGCACCCGCCACCATGCCCAGCTAATTTTTGTATTTTCAGTAGAGACAGGGTTTTACCATGTTTGCCAGGCTGGTCTTGAACTCCTGACCTCAGGTGATCCACCCGCCTCGGCCTCCCAAAGTGCTGGGATTACAGGCATGAGCCACCTGCCCAGACACGTATTTTACTTTTAATCTCTAGTTTTATATTACATGCTGATTGCACATCCCCACTCAGGAACATCAGAAGAAATACAAAAAGAGGAAATATTTCAAAACTTTGAAATCCCACAAAAATAATCACATTCACTAATAAATATTTCTCCTTATTTATTTTTTAGGGTACCAGGTAAGGAGACTCTCCAGTTTAGTTAGGACTATGCCTAATCTGAGTTCCCATAAATCCTCAAATGAACTATATATGTTATTCTTCTGGAGACTGAGGAAGCTGGTTAATCACTGTTCCCTTGTCTGGGTTCTCAAAGGTTCAGCACTGAAGCCGGGAGCCAGGAGAGGATAGCATTATGACCTTTACTCCTCAGTAACTCCTAAGGCTCACAGAGTGGTTAGTTTTCCCTCCCCTGTCTGTAGGCAAAAGTGGGGACTTGCAGATAGGAAGAATAGGCTTCCTTAGTGTCAGTCCCGCTGGTTTTTCTTCTTCTTCTTTTTTTTTTTTTTCCTGAGACGAGTCTTGCTCGCTCTGTCACCCAGACTGGAGTGCAGTGGCGTGATCTTGGCTCACTGCACCTCTGCCTCCTGGGTTCAAGCGATTCTCCTGCCTTAGATTCCAGAGTAGTTGGGATTACAGGCACGTGCATGACCACACCCAGCTAATTTTTATATTTTTAGTAGAGATGGGGTTCGTCATCTGGCCAGGCTGGTCTCAAACTCCTGACCCCAGGTGATCCACCCGTCTCAGCCTCCCAAAGTGCTGTGATTATAGGCGTGAGCCACTGCACCCGGCCCACTGGTTTTTCTGTTTGTTTGACAAAAGGAATGCCAGACCAACTCAGTCTCCAAACAAGCGCCCAGATCCAGTTATGGCTTTAACTGAGATTAAATGGAGAATCTGGTTTCAGGGACCAGTTCTTCCATTTTTGGTAGCTTGGTTCGTTATGGAGACTAAAGTTCTTACCATGATGAATTAAAAAAAAAAATTTATTTTTGTATTTTTCTGCTGTTTAAACCATGATGAATTTTTAGCAACCTCTCATCTGGGCAGATTCTCCCAAGAGATAGTGAATGCTTAGGAACACTTTACAGCTCAGCCTAAGGGAGAACATATCAGAAGCATGGCTGGATGAGAAAGGAGTGGCCTGCCTGGGAAAGTACTCCGTTCCCATCTTCAGAGGGGTCTGGTGGCGGCTAGATGGCCTTTGGTGAGGATGCTGTCTGGTTGCATTGGCTGGCCCGGAAGATCATTCCAAACTCTGTGGCTTATGAGTCCAGACAGAACAGGACAAGGACACTGTGTGTGTCTTTTCATGAGCTAGTGGCCAGATGAGGAAAAGTACCCTATGCTCTTTTAAATAAAAAACAGGATGTAAGTTTTTTTAAAAATTCAATATGCTTTATTTAGAATTACCATGTGCTTTATCTAACTAAATATTCCAGAGCATTTTATTCTTTCCAGACATGTTTTCTCTTATACTTTCCTAGTTCCTTTGTGACATCGTATGCTTATTTTGTCCTTTAAAGTTATCAACAGTGTGAAAAAAAGTTGTTTTGTTGGCTGGCTGTATGGTAGAAAACACAGCCTTCATCTCTTTTTTTGGCATATATGTAGAAGTTATTGAGTTAAAACTGAAAAGGCACCTTTAATTTATGACAGTATCATAACTTTAATTAAAAAATCAAACTTGTTATTTGGAAATGTAAAATCTTCCCCAAAGTAGAATAAAGAACCCCCATAGACTCATCACCAGATTCAATATTTTTCAACATTTTGCCACTCTTGTTTCATCTGTCCCCTCCCCTTTGTTTTTTCTCTTTTAATTCCAAATTACAATCTCTTCTAAACTCAGTGAAGTGTCCTACCAAGTTGAATCACAGCGGTGGATCTGGTGTGATTCAGAATGCAGTGGGGGTGAAAGGAGGGAGTCGGCAGGCTGACAGGTGCCTGTCTTTTACATATATTTCCTACGGCAGGAAGAGGTTGGTGTGGGATGAACAGAGGCTCAGGCACTTTGTCTCCTTTCCTGCTTGGCCTGAAGTGCCTACCTGACCCTTGTGGCCTCCAAGGGTGCCTTTGGCCAGTTGCCTTACCAGCCACTAGGCCGGACTCCTGCCACTGCTCAAGTCTTAGTTGATCAAAAGCCAGTTCTTCCCTTCTGCAGTTCCTTTCTATCACCATAAGAAGCAAATCAGCTTCCTCTGGAGGAGATAAATGGGCAAACCTGATTTACCCAGAACATATTTCTCTAGTCATTGTCTTATTAGCATTAAAGTTAAAAGGAGAACTACACTCAACGGAAGGCCTCCCTCACCACCCAAAGATATCACACCAGGTGGGGAGGTGGGGATGGGAACAGGCAGTTTAAAACTTCTACTTCTGTGGAGGCTTGGGTGGCGCTCTGTGGAAAGACAGTAAAGTGCCTTTAGAGGCTTGGGTCTGCATTCACCCTGCTATGCCATCCCTGAGAACTTGAAGCTGAAATTCTTCATTTTATCGTGGAAATTTGTAGCTGTACAGAAAAGTAGGAGTAGAATAAGAAGCTCCCATATAGCCCTCACCAGTTTTTAATAACGATCAACACTTTGCATTTAAACTTTTTGATTATGCAGCCTAGTAGTAAAAAGAGTTTTATATCCCCAATTTGGGTATGTTCTTTGTTTTTTAAATTATGTACATATAACACTGTATTGTTAATATTAAGTATACAAAAAAATAGAAAGCTAAGTGGAAACAGAACTTCTAATGTTTTCCCCATACCCTATGCCATCCTGTAAATCCCCTGGGGGTACACATTCCTCTTTGGAGCCAAATCATTTAGAAACATTATGTAATTCAGCAAACACGTGTTGGAGCCCACTGTGTGGCTGACGCTGTGCAAATGCTGGAGGGAAGATGCTGGGGGAGGTCTCACTGCTTACAGCCTGCTCCATCAGGGTCAGGGAATGAACATGATCCATCTTCTCCAGGTGAGAAGCTCTGCCTGAGACATAGACCTTATTCTCTGCCTTTTCTTGAGCAGGATCCCCCAGCATGAACTCTGGGCGTGTTTTATGCATTGTCGTTATTTCTTCTTCTTTTTTTTTAGAGATGGGGTCTCATTATGTTGCCCAGGCTGGCCTCCTATTCTTGAGCTCAAGCGATCCTCCCACCTCGGCCTCCCAAAGTGCTGGGATTACACGTGTGAGCCACCACCACACCCAGCCATTATTTCTTATTTTGAGAAATTATTTTGCCTGGCCCTCTGTGATCATTTTGATTGGTCTGATTTTGACTTTACCTGCTAAAAACAAAACAACCCCAAAACTGTTTTATCTCTATCATTTTCTGGAGTCACCTTTTAACTTAGTTTATCTGTTAACTTTACTTCCCTTTTATCTTTCATTTAAAAATACAGACTAGGAAGGGGCAACACAAGGGCCACAGACATGGTGATAGGCCAGGTCCTAAATCAGCAGGTTGGGTGCTGGTGCCTTCTCTGGTCTGTTCTGCTCTTCATCTCTTCTTTTCATGCCTCACAGCAAGACTTATTTGGTCCTTTGGAGAAGATTGGATCCCCAGATCAGCTGGTCAAAAAAGGCATAGCCTCCAGGTTAAAAACAAACAAAAAACCCATCTAGGTGGTTCAAGGGCTCTGAAAGTCTAATCACTTCTGCGAGACTGGAATAGACTAGCCCCAAAGATAGTGTAGTGCTGGCAGGCTGCTGGGGGAAAAGCCTTCCAAAACCCAGAACAGCTGGGAGCCTCACAGGAGTTTTGTGAACTGAAGCCCCTGCCTGCTGGCATACCTAAGCACTGCAGAGGGCAAAGGAAGAGTGTTGGGGGCTGCTGTCAGAGAGGCTGGCTGGGTGCTGGCAGGTCTGACGCTGGAGATTTGTTATACATTTTGAACTTCTCTTGAAGTTTCTCTTTTCTTTTTTTTTTGAATGATGTTATAATAGGGTATTTAACCAAGTATGACATCCTTTTTTATTCCGCTTAGTTTGTAAGGTAGACTTAAATGATCCATTTAACCCCAAGGCAGTGTGAATTAATAGCAGCCCCTTTGTTGTGGACAGGCCTTCACGACTCCCCCACTTGTCATGAGAATCAAAGGAGGTGCTGGCAGTGCCTAGAATGATCTCCAGCTGGGTTCCCAAGAGAGGCACAGTTGTTCCTTTGTTATTTAGACTTGTCCTTTTTAAAAGAGGGGGGCTATAACATCTTCCATTAGCTTCAGTCTGCATATAAATAAAGAGCCCTGCAAGCTTCAGGAACCTGCCTTACTTCCTAAACTTGATAAATTTCCACTCTTCACCAACGCTTTTTTTTTTTTTTTTTGAGATGGAGTTTCTTTCCTGTTGCCCAGGCTGGAGTGCAGTGGCACGATCTCAGCTCCCTACACCCTCCACCTCCTGGATTCAAACAATTCTCCTGCCTCAGCCTCCCCAGTAGCTGGGATTACAGGCATGTACCACCATGCTTGGCTAATCTTGTATTTTTAGTAGACATGGGGTTTCACCATGTTGGTCAGGCTGGTCTCGAACTCCTGACCTCAGGTGATCCTCCCGCCTCAGCCTCCCAAAGTACTGGGATTATAGGCATGAGCCACCGTGCCCGGCCCCCAGCAGAATTTTTAAAAAAGAGTTGTGGTCTCATTATGTCGTCCAGGGTGGACACCAACAGAAATTTATTTAGTACTGGTGGCCAATCTGTCGCACATTTGTCAAGAACTAAAGAAGTAAACTAAAGAAGAACCAAGCAGCATCATGGGCAAGCTGGAGGCCCAGTAGAGCTAAGTGATGAGTTTAAGGATGCCGTTAGAGCCAAGCATTAACGGCAGATAGGGTAGATAGACACTACCCTATCTAGTGTCTCTACTACCAGCTACGTTTCCAACCAGTCTCCTCTCCTACCCAAGCTCTGTTGGAAACAGATACAAACCCAAGTATACAGAGGAATTAAGAAGGGTTGGGGTAGCATTTTAATTCTATCAGAGGAAGCATTATCGTCAATGAATAGCTTTGTGACTTTTAGCTAACCGTTTACATAAATATTAAGTTAGATACTTACTCCAAATGAGACTACTGGAGCCAACGTCAATTTGTAGGTGTGCCGTTTGTATTGCATCATAGTCAGGTGTCTTAGCAAGACTGTTAACCTGTAATTGAATCTTAAATCTTCAGTGGATTTAGAAGAATGTAATACAATTTATCTGGAGAATTTCTTTTTCATTTTTCTTTTTTGAAACAACAAGGTCTCGCTCTGTGCCCCAGGCTGGAGTGCGGTGGTATGATCATAGCTCACTGCAGCCTCCACCTCCTGTGCTCAAGGGATCTTCCCACCTCAGCCTCCCAAGTAGCTGGGACTACAGGTGTGTGCCACTGTGGCTAGCTAGTTTTTAAATTCTTAGCAGAGACAAGGTCTGGCTATGCTGCCCAGGCTGGTCTCGAACTCCTGGGCTCAAGCAGTCCTCCCACCATGAGCTCCCAAAGTACTGGGATTACAGGCATGAGCCATGGTGCCCAGTCTGGAAAATTCCTTAATATTTTTTTTTTTAACTTCTGTATATATCAGTACAAATCTGTGTAAAATCTCAAAAAGAATTGATTTTATGTAGGCTATATAGCAAAGGAGGCAAAGCGGTGAGGTAAAGAGAATACTGAATGAGGCTCGGGATCCTGAGTTTTAGTTTTTAGGCTGCTACAAACTAGCTCTGCAATCTTGAGAAAAATCACTTCAGCTCTCTGTACCTTGGTTTCCCATCTGTAGAAGGAAAGAGCAGAATTCCACTCCCTCTTGCTTTTACTTGTGTTGCTTTCTCTGCTAAGCCAGCAACTCCAGTTCCCTTCCTTTGCCTATCCCCACCTTATTTTCACCTACTGCAAGCTGGAAAATGAGATGCCTCAGTTTGTTAGACCTGGGTGGGGTGTGATGCAGAACTGGAGGGGTTCCTTTCTAACTGCTGTCCTCTGGGGTTCTTATCCATTTTTGTTATTTAGGGGCTTTCTTTGCTTTCTGGCTCACCACTGAGATGGTTGAAATTGCCACATAAATGACCCCTGGCTCAAGCTAGCACATTGTCCTCATAGCATAAAATAATGGTGACATCACATTCCGGTGCAGTCCTCTGTAATATTGAAGCTTCATGCAAGTACCCATTCCCAGTGTTGACGATGGTATTCCAGGAAAATATGTGTTGCTCTTGCAGGAGTTTTATCACTTTTTTTCTTGATCACGAGTCATCATGAGGTCTGTCATTGAAGCTACTAAGAGTTGTCTTATGTAGAATTGCTTCTGTTTGAGAATATCGATTAGGCACCCCTTTGTACAGATGCTGAGGTTGTGGTATTCTGGATCAATACTTTTTCAAAGTATTAACCATTTATATGCTTAATCCTGGTTTTCTGCATGTTTTTAATATATTTTTTAAAACTTGGTAGAACTTCTTTTTTTTTTTTTTTTTTTTTTGAGATGGAGTCTCGCTTTGTCGTCCAGGCTGGAATGCAGTGGCACAATCTCAGCTCACTGCAACCTCTGCCCCCTGGGTTCGAGCAATTCTTCTGCCTTAGCCTCCCGGTAGCTGGGACTACGGACTCTCACTACCATGCCCAGCTAATTTTTGTGTTTTTAGTAGAGACGGGGTTTCTGTTGGCCATGGCTGGTCTTGAACTCCTGACCTCATGATCACCCACCTTGGCCTCCCAAAGTGCTGGGATTATAGGTGTGAGCCACCGTGCCTGGCCCTGTAGAACTTCTTACATGGAAGGATGTATTTGGTCATACCATTAGCATTTAGAAACCCATATTTCACTTCAAGGTATTTGGAAATTACATTTCTCCTGTTTTTAATAACTGTATAAAAATACAACTATAAGCTAGGATTTATTTTGCTACTTAGCTGCAGAAGAAAAATGTATGTCTTGATTGTTCACACATAAAGAATATACTGTACCATATATGCTTTTGATAATGATAATCTTCCTAGTTGATAATAAACAACAACTCTCCAATTCTTGGACTTCAGCTCATTTCCTAACTTAGCGTGGGCTTATGTAGGAATCTGCTTATGGTTTACCAGTCAAGTAAGATCTGGGGTTTCTAATTAACCACAAACATAATGATATGCCAACAGTACAGTACATCTACCCAAACAGTTAATGCAAATGTAGGTCACATTGATAGATCAATAGTGTCTAAATTAGAGGAAGTAATTTCCCCCCTAGGTGACGAAATCTAGTTGCAACTTTTCAGCCATTCATCCCAGGCTGCAGCTTTCAGATGCTATGTGATAGGTAGGTGTGCACCTACACGTAACTGATATCTCATCTAACTGAGCTCTAGGTCCCTTGGGGAAGTACTCCGGGAGTATGGTACTGTCTGCCGTTAGCTCTAAACTTCTACCTGGAAATCCACAACTCTGCTTCTTTTGGAAGATTCACACGTCCTGTTTCATTACAGAAAGAGTTCTGCCGTTAGCATTAGCCATGTCACTCCCCTCCCCGGTCTATCTAGCACTGGATCCCAGACACTGATGTGGAGAACCATTTCTGTATGGAGGCACAGAAGCCTTCTCTTCCTCATTTGATGTCTAGGTCCCATGTTCTGAAACAGTAGAGTGCTTTTCAGATCCTGAGCCTAAGGCCCTCCTTAAAACACATAGAGTCCTATTTACAGGTTCGTTTCTTTCTTGCTTGCTTTCTGTATTTATTTACTAGAGACAAGGTCTCCCCTCTGTCACCCAGTCTGGAGTGTAGTGGCAGGATCTCAGTTCACTGCAACCTCTGCCTCCCAGGCTCAAGTGATCCTCCTGCCTCAGCCTCCCAAGTAGCTGGGACTACAAGCGTGAACCACCACACCTGACAAATTTTTGTATTTTTTGTAAAGATGGGGTTTTGCCATATTGCCAAGGCTGGTCTCAAACTTGTGAGCTCAAATGATCCACCCACATCAGCCTCCCAAAGTGCTGGGATTACAGGCCTGAGCCACTATGCCTGGCTCCCATTTGCAGATTCTTTTGACTTACACCTCCCTTGTTCTTCAAGAAAATGGGGCCAGGCACAATGGCTCATGCCTGTGATCCCAGCACTTTGGGAGGCCGAGGGGGGTGGATCACTTGAGGCCAGGAGATCGAGATCAGCCTGGGCAACATGGCAAAACCATCTCTACTAAACATAAAAATAAAAAAATTAAAAAATTAGCCAGGCATGGTAGCACATGCCTGTAATCCTAGCTACTCAAGAGGCTGAGGCAGGAGAATTGCTCGAACTTGGGAGGCAGAGGTTACAGTGAGCTGAGATCACGCCACTGCACTGCAGCCTGGGTGACAGAGTGCGACTCTGTCTCAAAAAAAAAAAAAAGTAAGAAAAATGGGACTCTCTATTTCATTCAGTCTCTCTCTGTCATCACTACCATATTAGCCAGCTTTGCTTTAGTAACAATCCAAAAACTCAGACTCTCAACAAACATTTATTTTTCACTCATATTACTTGTCCGTGGTGCTGGAATACCTTCTACGTCTCTCCTCTGTGTATCTTCTCCATCTGCAACTGAGGCTGAAGGAGCATCCCCTACTTAAGACATGATAGTCTCATGGCAGAAGGAAAAGAGTATGAGAGTTTCTGTTTGAACAATATGAACATCACATTTGCTCATAAGCCATTGGCCAAAGCAAGTCACATGGGCCAGTCAACTTTTTTTAGCCATTCATCCCAGGCTGCAGCTGGGTGACGTCAGAGGTGACTTGGAATGGCAACAGATGGTGCCTGAGCTGTAGGACCGTTGGGGAGCACCGTGGGAGGCTCAGAATGCTGGGGCAGTCCCTAATAGTGATGCTGCTGCTCCTGACCACGAAAGGACTCTGCAGGTCAGCCCCACCTTTGACAAGATGCTTCCCAGGGTTCCACCATGCAGACACTCATCCTCCTTTCCAATGTCCGGGTATCCCTGGGACAAGCAGCTCTTATGTATGTAACATCATTTTGTCTTCTCAACAAGCCTGTGGAAGTTATTATCATTTCCACTTTTTAGATAAGGAAGATGAAGTAACTTGTTAATAAGTGGAACATCTGAACTTGAACTGTTTCTTTGACTCCGAATCATATGTGTTTTTGGGGTTTTGTTGTTGTCGTCGTCGTTATTTTTATTTTTATTTTTTTTCTGAGACAGAGTCTTACTCTGTCACCCAGGCTGGAGTGCAGTGGCGCGATCTCAGCTCACTGCAACCTCCGCCTCCCGGGTTCAAGCGATTCTCCTGCCTCAGCCTCCTGAGTAGCTAGGATTACAGGCATGCACCACCATGCCCAGCTAATTTTTCTATTTTTAGTAGAGATGGGGTTTCACCGTGTTGACCAGGCTGGTCTTGAACTCCTGACCTCATGATCCACCTGCGTAGGCCTCCCAAAGTGCTGGGATTACAGGCGTGAGCCATGGCGCCCAGCCTGTTGTTATTTTTAAGAGACAGGGTCTTGTTCTGTCACCCAGGCTGGAGTACAGTGGCTCAATCATAGTTCACTGTAGCCTGACATTCCTGGGGTCAAGGGATCCTGAGCCTCAACCTCGGCCTCCTGAGTAGCTAGCACTACAGGTGCACATCACCACACCAGCTAATTTAACAAAAATTTTTGTAGAGACAGGGTCTCACACTGTGTTGTCCAGGCTGGACTCAAACTCCTGGCCTCAAGTGACCCTCCCCTTTGGCCTCCCGCAATGCTAGGATTATAGGCGTGAGCCACTACAACCAGCCCAAATGATATATTCTTTGAATGGCAACGTGCAATGTTTAAAATACTGGCCGGGTGCAGTTGCTCACCCCTGTAATCCTAGTACTTTGGGAGGCCGAGGCATGTGGATCACTTGAGGTCAGGAGTTCAAGACCAGTGTGGCCAACATGGTGAAACCCAGTCTCTACTAAAAATACAAAAATTGGCCGGGTGTCGTGGCTTGTGCCTGTAATCCCAGCTACTCAGGAAACTAAGGCAGGAGAATCGCTTGAACCCAGGAGGCAGAGGTTGCAGTGAGCCAAGATTGCACCACACTCCATCCTGGGCAACAGAGAGAGACTCCATCTCAAAAAATAAAAAAATTAAGTAAATAGGCTGGGTGCAGTGGCTCATGCCTGTAATCCCAGTACTTTGGGAGGCTGAGGCGGGCGGATTGCCTGAGGTCAGGAGTTCGAGACCAGTCTGGCCAACATGGTGAATCCCCATCTCTACTAAAAATACAAAAAAATTAGCCGGGAGTGGTGGCATGTTCCTGTAATCCCAGCTACTGGGGAGGCTGAGGCAGGGGAATTGCTTGAACCAAGGAAGTGGAGGCTGCAGTGAGCCAAGATCATACCACTTCACTCCAGCCTGGGTGACACAGCAAAACTCCGTCTCAAAAAAATAATAATAAAATAAATAAAAGAAAATACTGTATGTACTCTGCAGATATAACCATGTAAGAACTTACATGGATAAAACTTGAAAAGGAGTAGAAAAAGTGAAGTGCTTGGCCTTTTGAGTGGCACGTAGTATTTCTTTGTCACCCAGGCTGGAGTGCAGTGGCATGATCTTGGCTCACTGCAACCTCTGCCACCTGAGTTCAAGTGATTCTAGTGCCACCATGCCTAATTTTTGTATTTTTAGTAGAGGCAGGGTTTTGCCATGTTGCCCAGGCAGATCTCAAATTCTTGACCTCAGACGATCCACCTGCCTCGGCCTCCCAAAGTGCTGGGATTACAGGTCTGAGCCACTGCACCCGGCCCAGACTTAGCTCCTTCAGTTTCTGGCTTCCCTAACTGAACAGCCACTCTAATTCATTTGATGAGGAAGATCTTTGAGAAGTAATTGAGAAGGTTAAGCCAAATATAGTTTGGAGTAAGATCAGATACTGCAGGGGCAGAGAGTTGAGATTAGGCCACAGTGAAGAAGAGAAGAAAATATCAAATGTAAGCAGAGATTAACACCCCACAACTGAATACCAGCAGTAATACAGGATTTGGGCCAGCAGCAGGGTTAATGCAAAAGAGGCAGCTGTTAAATCGAAAATAAGAGCTTTTGTTTTGTTTTTTGTTTTAGAGACAAGGTCTTGCTCTGTTGCTCAGGCTGGAGTGCGGTGGTGTGATCATAGTTCACTGCAGCCTCGAACACCTGGGTTCAAGTGATCCTCCTGCCTCAGCCTCCCCAGTAGCTAGGACTACAGGTGGGCACCACCACGCCCCACTATTTTTTTTTTTTTAATTTTTTTTTGTAGAAGTGAGGGCTTGCAGTGTTACCCAGGCTGGTCTTGAACTCCTGGCCTCAAGTGGTCCTCCCACCTCATGCTCCCAAAGTGCTGGGACTGCAGGCATGTACCACCATGCCTAGCTAATTTGTTTGTTTGTAGAGCTAATTTTTCTTTCTTTTGTAGAGACAGGGTCTCACTATGTTTCCCAGGCTGGTCTCAAACTCCTGGCCTCAAGCAATTCTCCCACCTCCGCCTCCCAAAGTGCTGGGACTCTAGACAGGAGCCACTGCACCCAGCTAGAAAATTTAATAGGAAGTCTAAAAGACATTTCAGGAACTCTCTGCTTTTGGGAACGCCTTCTAAAGACCCTTCTCCCCACCTTGTGGACTGGCCTTCAGGAGCCCAGTTTGGCAGTAATTGTGCAGTGGCTCAGGCATGTAATCCCAACACTTTGGGAGGCCAAGGTGGGTAGATAACTTGAGGTCAGGAGTTCAAGACCAGTCTGGCCAAAATGGCGAGACCTTGTCTCTACAAAAAAATAAAAATGTAGCCAGCATGTTGGCATGCACTGTAGTCCCAGCTACTCAGGAGGCTGAGCCTGGGAAGTGGAGGTTGCATTGAGCCAAGATTGTGCCACTGCACTCCAGCCTGGGCAACAGAGTGAGACCCTGTCTCAAAAAAAAGAGATCCTGTGTCCTCATTGCATCTTGCCAAGAAGCACCTGATGTCAGTTTGTCCCATTATTTTTCAGGTATTTCAATATATTATTCTCTAGAATAGAGTATTCCATTGTCTGAGATAAATCTAGCTTCCCTATATCATAGTGGCTATTTTTCTTCCAGCCCAGAAGTTTTTCCTTGGTAAGATAACTTTATTTTGTGAGTTTATAGATTTGGATTATAAAAATAGATCGGAACTGTTAGACTAATTTGGCCCAGAGATTTTATGAGTCCACTTGGGAGAAATAGGAGTAATTCTCAAAACCAAAATGAGAAAATCCATGTTTAACAAAGAAAAATTAGTTTTTAGCTGAAGGAAGTCCCCTATAAAAACATTGCGTCACAGGATTCCTTTCACAGTAAGCTACCAATTTTATATGTGACTCAATTGACGTAAAACTCTGTTTTAAATGAATAGTATGTGAGGTGATGGATATGTTAATAACTTGATTTCATCATTTTGCTATGTATACATATATCAAAACATCATGTTGTACAGTGTAAATATATACAATTTTTCTTTGTCAGTAACACCTTAATGCTGGAGGGGATGGGAGAAGAAAATCTGTTTTCTATATTTCACAAGCACATCTATTGCACAATGTATACACATTGCCTCATTATGTGAGATTTATTGGCCCAGCCTAGGATTTGGCTTTTGACAACCAAAAAGGTTGCCCTTTGTGATACCAGTCTCAAAAATGTTAAGAACGTACCCCAAGCATCTCTTTAAAAAGGATTTTGGATTTATTGACCATGAATTTATCTACAATCTGTTTCTGCTTTCATTTGTATCATTTAGGGACTGATGATTTGTATGTTTTCCACTTGTATTTACATAGCATTCCTTTTTTCCTCTTTAACTCAGGGGTTACACACTCTGAATGTCTAAAATGATGAGTCAGTGAAATGGTTTGTGTGTAAGGATTCATAGTAAGAGAGTGGGTGTCCCATCTACAGGGAGCAGCCATGCTCAACTTGAGCCTGAGATGAGTGCGGCTCATTGTGGCCAAGATATTTTGATTTATGGGTGGGTGCGGTGGCTCACATGCCTGTAATCCCAGCACTTTGGGAGGCTGAGGTGGGCTGATCACCTGAGGTCAGGAGTTTGAGACCAGCCTGGCCAACATGGTGCAACCCCGTCTCTACTAAAAATACAAAAATTAGCTGGGCGTGGTGGCGCACATCTGTAATCCCAGCTACTTGGGAGGCTGAGGCAGGAGAATCACTTGAACCTGGGAGGCGGAGGTTGCAGTGAGCTGAGATCACGCCATTGCACTCCAGCCTGGGCAACAGAGCAAGACTCCATCTCAAAAAACAAACAAACAAAAAAAATTCTGACTTTTCCCTAGAATCCTCAAGTCTGAATTTTCAAACATTATGAATTCAATCAAAAATTTTAAAAGACACTGTGCAGAACAAATAGGTGCCTCGTGGCTTGCCAGTTTCTTTCTTTAATATACCTCTTTTACATTTCAAAGTGTCCTTTCTAGTTTTCTGGGATTTAGTATATGAGTTCACCGTCTTCTGATTCTCCTCCCCCAATTGCATGACAACTTTTATTATTCTTTCAGCTTTCCTCTTAACACACTACAGATTATTTGTCATTATTTTATGGTTATTATAAAGAAATAGTTCCATATACTACTTTATTTACCTTGACCCAAGGCCCACTAATGTATAATAAGTAAAACTGTAAAATCGGTCCTTTCATCTCCTGTTGTTATCAGTTGTTCTTGAGGGTGAGTGTCAATTTCATGGTTGGAGGCCAACTCTTCTTCCCTTCTCTCTGCAGCCGTCATTTCACCAAGCTGATAATGTTCGGGGAACCCGCCATCACGGGCTGGTGGAGAGGCCATCCAGGAACCGCTTCCACCCCCTCCACCGAAGGTCTGGGGACAAGCCAGGGCGACAAATATCCTTTTTTACTCTTCAAAGGGAGTGTGCATTCTGAAATGTTTGAAAAGTTTTCAGGATTTATCTTCCCTGCAATTCTCCTTTGGCCTCAGAATCTTCATTTATCTGATGAAAGGAGGCAATACAAATAAATGAGTTGGAAACTAGAAACATCTCTGCAGTCAACATTTGGAAACATCATTGTAGGTGTTTATGAAAGCATCAATAAAGTTCAGTTTAATGAAATAACAACAAAAACAACCTGTAATTCGGTCCCATTGCAGGGTGTTCTGAGCATTTTCTCCAGAAATTGGCCACGTTAGAGTTAAACCTGACTTTGAATCAGGTTAGAGAGCCTTAGTCTCTTTAGCAAAAATGGACATAGAGATATGTGATTTATTTGTACTTCTTTTGATCTGCTGACCTGCTTTTGGAACTTACAGACAAAATTTCATATTATTTTCTATTTGTGATGTTTCAAACTCAGTAAGTGATAACTAAAATAAACCTAGAATATAGGAAAATCTCATGCAGTGATGTACAGTCACACCAAACTCTGCTGTTAAGTAGAAATAAAGGAAAGGAAATGGTGAATTCACCTGACAGTTTCATTTAATCAGTCCTGTTTACAGGGCGGCAGTGGTGGGTGCAGCTGTGTGACCAGCATTGTGCCGAAGGCTTTGGGGAACAGAACTGAGCTGGATTTTTTGGGAGAGGACACAGAAGTGTGCCAGGAGGGCCCGTGCTCTCACTTCATTCTTCTCAGTACTCGGGCGCAGGGGTGGAGGAAGGAGAAGAAAGGCGGGGTGGGTCTCGCTGCGGAGAGCTGAATTCCTGGCAGTGATGGTAGAGTTGGCTTCACAAGCCTAGAAACCAGGAAGTGGGGGCAGGGCACTCATGTTTACTGAGCACCTACCCATGCCAGGCGCTGTGCTGGGTAATTTATGTGTCACTTAGTCCTCAAAAACTCACTGAGTCGTTAATTTTTTTAACCCTCATTTTCTGATGAGGAAACTGAGTGTGTGGTGAAGTAACCCAGGATTCAGACCAGGCCCCGCTGATGGCCCAGCCTGTGCTCTCCCCTCCCTATGCCACCTGCGACCATTCGCAGTGATGAGGACCTTGTACAAGGGAGCCAGGAGTTGTGGGGGCACTCTAGGGAAACCCCAACTTTTCTTGCCTTCAAGCTTCTTGCAGTTTTTAGTCTATTTGGAGGCAAGGATAATGACCCCAGGGAATGTTTTTCTCTCCCCTTTCTCCCGCCCCCAGGAACACACCACATTTGGTCCACAGAAGGACTGACTTCTGATTTTGTATATTATGTGGCTGTTATCAAGGAAAGTAAAGATGATAAATGATCTTGAGAATCTATTCTGGAATGTGTGATAACTTTGACATTGAATGAAAAAGGCAAAAGGAAATGGAGGCAATTCATCAGCAAATTTGTACATGTCAGGATGGAGTGGTACATCAAACCGTTGTCCAAATTGCCAAGAATATTCAGGCAAAAGACTTGGAGTGTTTCTTTGATTGATTTAACAATGTATTTTTTTTGGCTGGGCATGGTGGCTCACGCCTGTAATCCCAGCACTTTGGGAGGCCGAGGTGGGCAGATCACGAGGTCAGGAGATTGAGACCATCCTGGCTAACGTGGTGAAACCCCGTCTCTACTAAAATTACAAAAAATTAGCCAGGCTCGGTGGTGGGCACCTATAGTCCCAGGCTGAGGCAGGAGAATGGTGTGAACCCGGGAGGTGGAGCTTGCGGTGAACCGAGATCGCGCCACTGCACTCCAGCCTGGGCAACAGAGCGAGACTCCGTCTCAAAAAAAAAAAAAAAAAACCAATGTATATTTTTTCAGTTCTCAGTTCCCTCTTTTTCCTGTCAGTGCTCTCATTTCTATATATTAGATTAAACATTATGCTATATATACGTGTGTGTATGTATATGTGGCTATCTCAGATACTTTTGAAGTACGGTCTAAATGTATAAGCATGCATATAGTTTTACTAACCAAAATAGAGAAGGGAATTGAAGAAAAAAGAGGAGAATGTTTATTCACTTATAAAAATTATTTGTTAAGTATGTGCTAGTGGTCAGACACCGTTTTAGACATTTTAATTCACTGTAACAGTAAACAGCATGGTCCCTGACCTCAAGTTGCCCAGGGTTCAGTGGGAGAGGCTACTCAGCAAACAAGCAGCCACGGCAGGTATGGCGTCTGCAGGGAGGCAGCTCAGGGGCTGTGGGAGCACGTCGGAGGTGCAGCTTGAACTAGTCTGGGGAAACGAAGAAGGCATCCTGGGGGAACATCTGAGGCTTGAAGGATAAGAAGTAAGAGGATAAAGTGTTCATTCAGCAGATCTTTACAGAGCCCCGTCTCTGTGCCAGGCACTGTTCTAAGCACTGGGGACCCAGTGATGAATAAGGGAGGCATACTTCCTGCTTTCTTGAGTTCACAGTCCTGTGGGAGATGACAGCAAACAGGCAATAAGAAAGGAAAATGGTTTTAGATGGTAATGAGTGAGATTTAAGAGAGTAAAGCAGTTGGGAGGTATGTTCCAGGCAGAGGGAAGAGAATGTGGTGCAAAGTCCTACCCAGAAGGGGAGATGACTTCTTGTGTTCAGGGGACCCTATCTCTTATGATAGGGTATAATCTGGCACTGTATGGATCAACTTGAGAGCATAAGCAAAGCTAGTCAACTCCTAAAGGAAGGAGAAACAAAAACCAAGTTAATATGCAGAGAAATTAAAGTTATTAGACAGTATGAGTCAGATTCACTGATCATGAGCCATGTCTCTGTGGTCTCCTAAGCTCCTAAATTGGGTTCCTGGGACTGGACATCGGTTGATGCAAAGAAAGTTCTTTAGCCCAGTCTCTTTTGAGGAATCAAGGGTCCGTGAAATGGGATGATTTTATTTTGGTGTTAATCTATTCCACTTGGAGGAGGAGGGCTGTGATTCCGTCTTTGCTTTCACGACCTGCATTCTGTTGGTTGTGAAATAATCTGCTTAAAATTGTGGCCTTGAACATTTGTCTATGACTTTTTAAATGAAGTTTCTTCATTTGAAAGTATAAAACACTAGTTTGAATCTTTGTTAGAACAAAAGGAAAAAATCAGAATTATTATAGCTGTTTCTTGGCTTGGGTGTTATTTAAGACACACTGGCTTAGACAAGGGTTTTAAGGGTTCACTCCTATGATAGGGTGATCTCAAATAAAACGAACATTGTTTAACAAATACTCTGGCCTCCTCTCAGAGTGGGCAGCCACAGCACGCAGAGCTCTGCCACAGGAGATTCCTTCTGGAGTGGGCTTTGCCCTTGGCATGGGTGGCCACACAAGACCAAGGCACAGCTGCAGCTGGGCCCTGGCCTAGCCCCACACAGGCGGAGGAGAGGCACTGCCAGGGCTTGCTCCTGGCTGGGGGCCTGGGCTCGGGCACTTGGAAGAGAAGCTCTTCTGCCCTTCTGCAGATGTGCAGTCTGTAGCAGCCCTTCTTACTCTCACTCATCAAGGTTGGCAGACGTGCCGTGTCCCAAACACCATTGCTAAACTTCTGAACTATTAACATAAATTTATAGCAAATAAAATATTTTCTCAGCCTTGTGGATGACACGCTCAGAAGGAAACACGAAATGCCTTCCTTGAAAGGAAGTCAAGAGTTCACCAGCGTGAAGGGTCGTGAAGAGATGCCTAAGACCTACTAGAGTTAGGAATGATTCTCCTCTCTGGGCTGGGCCTTGCTTTGATTCTTTTCATCATAATGAGATGAAAATGTTAGGACATTGGTTTATAGGACACTGTTTCTTTGAGATGCATGGCCTATTACATTTGAGAAACACCATACTCTGTATCACCTCTTGGAGCCTGACCGTATATATCAGGGCTCTGAAAAGTCCTGCAGTTAATAAACTTCTTATCTTTAACCCAGAATTTCAAAACTTAAGTGATCACAAAATCCAACTGTTACCTAACACCCGTCTTATCTTGAAGGACAAGGAAACATTGGTCTTTAGAATTTTAAGGGGGAAATATTCTGACTTCACAATACCACATGCAACCTGTTTGCCTCTCATTTGCTGAGGGAAACAGGATGTTCTTATAAATGCAAGGACTCAAAAAGATGCCACTCATATCCTCCCTTACAGTTTCACTTTAAGATGTCTTCTAGTGGGACATAGTTAGAGGTAAAGGGACAAAAAGAAGTAGAATGACAATAAACACATGGCTGAGCAATCAGGAAGGAGCCAAATTGTGGCCAGTTTTATATATTAAATCTGACCCTGAAACTTGTCTTGGTAGGTGGGTTCTGTTAACCAGACTCCGAGCCCACTTACCCCACCAGCTACATGGAAGGTCTCAGGCCTGCCCCACAAACTGTGTCCCTGGCAGAACACAGAGTTCCAGAGCAGGAGAGAAATGACTGGCTTCCAGGCTGCCCCGACAAGGCAGTTCCTGAGCCCTGCCCAGGTACACTGACCGCACAGGGACGGGAAGCCAAGAGAAGGGAACCCTGGGCCTGCTCACCCAGCCGCAGGTCAAGCAGCACAAAGAAAGGGCCAGGGCGGGTCTTGTTTTCAGCTTCTGTGGCTCAGTAACCCCACCCACTGGTAAACTGGCCAACTGATGTCCTCTCTTATCAGAAGAAGAAGAGCTGCTCCCCTTCCTTTGGTGAAGAGTAAGAACTGTTCCCTCTAACACTCCACAGGTTGAGAGGAACAGCAGTCCCTGTGTTGATGGATTGAGGCAGTAACTCGAGGAGGAAGATTTTCCTGCACAGAACTGCAGAGGCTTGGGGAGAGAGAGAACACACTGGGATGACTCTGAGATCCTAACATGAGTGTCTTGGTGGACGGTGGCCTCACTAAATGAGATGGACTATAAGAAGAGGAACAGATTAAGGGGACAGTGATTGGTTGGATTTTTGGTAGAATTTGAGCTGTCTTGGGTACTTTTGGCAGAGAACTTGAGTAGGCAGTTGGAAGTATGCACTTGGAGTTCACAAAAGAACTGTTGGGAGCTGGAGGTGTCGATTTATGAGTTACTGGACTGTGGGTGACAGTGGGGCCGAGGGAAGGATGCGATTGGCCAAGGCGAGCATGGAGGACAGGGGCTCTCTACCAGGAAGACGGGCACTGGCCCTGAGGCTCTTAGGAAGCGCCTCCTAAAGCTCCTGTGCCCGGAGGCTCCCGCCACCCCCTCCACCTGCTCACACTCTGCCTGGTGCCCAGGGATCCTGAGAGCATCCTTTGCCTCTCAGAGCAATGCAGGCAGGTGTGGCCTGAGGCTGCGAGGCCACAGGACCCCAGGGAACATCAGGACGGAAGGCAAAGGGGCGGAAAGGAGTGCACAGAGGGATAAGAAAAGATCCATGTGAGTGTGGGGATTTTTTTTTTTAACTTTAATTTTTGTTTCCATCCATTGCAGCCACCTCTTCTTTGTTTATCTTTTTCATCATCCCTCCTCCCTGCCTTCCTTTTTTAATGTGGAAATCTTCCTTGAGCCAAAGGCTTCACTAAGCTTAACTAAGGAAGCAATGGAGGAGGCGCTGATGTGGTTGTTAAAAGCCCTGTGACCTGTGCTGCCCTTCCGCTGGCACGCTGGCACCTGGCAGGGATGCCAGAAATGTTTCTTGAGTAAATGGTAAATTCAAGTTTATAAATAAGAGTGTTTCCTTTGTCTCGAGGTTGTTACTTAGGGCATGTCAGTGTTGTGGAGTAGTTTAAAGCCACCTGAATGAAGTTTTCTGAAGTTTTCCAAAGAACAAATAAACTTCTTCTAGATTTTCCTTGCATTAAGTATAAGTGTATAACATGAGTGGTTCTCTTGGGTTTTCAAATATCCACTAAATTAGATGAGAGTGAAAATTAAGAGAGCTCAGAGGTCACATCTTTCAACTTTTGATGCCTCAACCTAATTATATTAAAAATTTCCAGGAATTTACTATATTTTCATGTTGTTAATATCAGGAAGGTTAAAATGCTAACTTACACCTCAACATTGAAATCACCAGCGTTTGATGATTACGTGACTATTACACCACTGCATTCTAATTTGTATTATCAGTACTATGAGATCAGAGATACTGAGTTTAAAGATGGCAGTGTACTGAGAAAAATGGTAAACTTCTACTTCCTGAAATTAAGCGTTTCTGAACAGAGATTCATCAAATCTGCAGAAAAGAGAAAGGCAGATAACCGTAGGTTCTGAGGCTCGGTGTTTCCTCCCTAATGGCTTTGCCAACAGAAATACTGACAGGTTTTGTCTGTCACGGGCCTTACTATTTATCACCTTTTCCTCTCCTACCTCCTACTGTGGTCTTGCCTCATCTGTACTTCATGTACCTTAAGCCTAATAGTGAATGTTGAAGAAATGTCTCTCTTTGGAAATTATCTGTTTTATTTTATTGATTTAAGGTCAAATTAAGAAATAAGATAATGAGACTTGTCAAAGAAAACGAATACATAGAAGATGAAACTTGCAATCCTAATGCCTCTCCTGGCAAAGAAGACATTTCCCACCAAATCACTAAGAACTCATGAGAGCCTCCGTTTTCCTAATTCCAGATTCTGTATTTATTTGAGCTGCCCAGCCCAGGCCTGCAGGATAGGGCCCCACTCCATCAAGGCTCCTGTTTCCTCCTGAGCCCGAGCAGATGGTACCTTCTCTTATAGCCTCCATCCTTCCCAGAACACTCCAGGTACTATTTTCTATTTTCTGGGGGCATTTGGCATAGTTCACTGTTTCCTGAGAGGCAGCATAGCTTAGCGGAGAGCTCTCAGGCTTTGGTGTCAGTGATTTGTGGGTCTGACCCCTGATCCACCAGGCGTGCTATCTGATCTTGGATTTCTCAGCTCTTCTAGAACTGAGCCTCAGTTTCTTCAGCTATAAAATGGGGAAAATATCTGCCTCTCAGGATTGAGGTTAAATAAAGTGTGAACTCAGCACAGGCCTGGCACACAGTAGGTGCTTAGATATCTGTTTTCAAATTTCTGTCTTAATGTGTAGTTTGTATCTTCTTTATTATTTCCACCTTAAGAAATAAAAGTTTGGGATGAAAAGTATTAT
This sequence comes from Homo sapiens, assembly GCF_000001405.40. Taxonomy (NCBI): domain Eukaryota; kingdom Metazoa; phylum Chordata; class Mammalia; order Primates; family Hominidae; genus Homo; species Homo sapiens. The sequence goes on from NC_000015.10 coordinate 90,600,810, forward strand.
TGGTAACTGCCGAATGTATATTTAATCCAATCAGTGATCCAGGAGACAAAAGGAATGGGCTTGGTTTGGGTGAGTGATAAGGAGGCAACCTTCCACATAGGAGGTGAGAAAGGGGAAATGGCCTTAGCAAAGGCAGAGGGGCAGGAAAATACAGGCTGTGTTTGTGGAACTCAGAAAGCTGGAGGGAAGACAAGAGCAGAAGAGACCATTGTCCCCAAATTGTGGATCACCGCAATTACTAAGCCAGTAAGTTTTGATTTTGCCTTTTAGGCTGAACAAAATCATTGAAGATTTCTTAGCAGAATAATATGATTAACAGTGTCTTCAGAAGGCTATTGTGTGGGAACAATTAACTAAACGAATGAAAACAGCGCCCCTCTGCTCGGTGTGTAGTGCAGCATCCCATTTGTGTCTCCGTGCGTCCAGAATATGCTCCAAGGCATGGTAGACCCAGTGAACAACACAAGACTGATAAGACAGTGCCCCCAACAACACTGGAAAGTTTACCTTTCTTCACACATCTAATGCGCCTCTTTTTTGGTTATAAATACCAGGAACCGCCGGGCGCAGTGGCTCACACCTCTAATCCCAGCAATTTGGGAGGCCGAGGTGGGTGGATCACCTGAGGTCAGGAGTTCAAGACCAGCCTGGCCAACGTGGAGAAACCCTGTCTCTAATTAAAAAAAATACAAAATTAGCCGGGTGTGGTGGCGCATGCCTGTAATCCCAGCTACTCGGGAGGCTGAGGCAGGAGAATTGCTTGAACCTGGGAGGTGGAGGTTGCAGTGAGCCGAGATTGCGCCATTGCACTCCAGCCTGGGCCAAAAAAAAGAGTGAAACTCCGTCTCAAAAAATAAATAAGTACCAGGAACCCACCTTAACTTAAAAAAAGAAAATGTATTGGCATATGTCACTGGAAGCCCAAGGGCTAGATCCAAGGGGTCATACAATGTCATTGAGACCTACCTCTGTGGTACCACTTCTGAGATGACTTCAGGCATAACAGACAGGCTTTCTCCAAGGTGAAGACCCCCAGGTTCAGACGGCCCTTGGGCTTACCAGCCCTATTGGGGCACTCCTTTTTTTTCCACTCAAAAGCACTCTCCTTGGTTCTGTTTGCGTCGTGAGCCGATCCCTGAGCCAAACACTGTTTCCAGGGGGTGAGGTACCTAGACTAGAATCCTGGGCCTGGGTCCCTCACATGTGGCACAGAGGGAATGGCAGTGTTACCAGGTTTGGAGCAAGAGTGGAGACAGTTCCTGAAAACAAAAGTTGCCGGACAGGCAAAAAATAATAAACACCCCACAAAAAATCATGCAAAGAAAACACCGGTTAGAAGACAGCAGAATAGACTTGTCCTCAAGGAGGGAGATAAGAGAAAGCATGAAGGAAGAGCTGTCAGGTACAGGGATAAGGAACCAAAAACTCAGTTGTTTAACTCTCTGTGAGTCCACCTTGTTAATTCTGCTTCATCTTTCCATTAATTTTTATTTTTCCTTTATTAAAAATTCTACTTTGATGGTAGTGCTTTTGGAGCCAATTATTCCTCACAGCCTCTGGATGAGAGTTGGCCAAGGTAAGCAAGACATACTTTAAAAGATATGATGGGCATGTGTTATTTTTAGATAATTTCACTTTATCCACTTTGAATGTTGTTTAGAAATTTCTAATATAAAGCATAGAATCCTGTTTTCTCTTATAACATTTAATTTCAGTGGGAGGATCACTTGAGACCAGGAGTTTTGAGGCTGTTGTGTGCGATGATGGGGCCTGTGAATAGCTACTGCACTCCAGCCTGGGCAGCATAGCAAGACGCCATCTCTTAAAAACAAACAAACAAACAAAACAACAACAACAACAACAACAACAACAAAACACCTTATTGGCCGGGCATGGTGGCTCATGCCTGTAATCCCAGCACTTTGGGAGGCTGAGGCGGGCAGATCACAAGGTCAGGAGATTGAGACCATCCTGGCCAACATCATGAAACCCCGTCTCTACTAAAAATACAAAAATTAGCTGGGCATGACAGCACATGCCTGTAATCCCAGCTACTTGGGAGGCTGAAGCAGGAGAGTTGCTTGAACCAGAGAGTCGGAGGTTGCAGTGAGCTGAGATCACGCCACAGCACTCCAGCCTGGTAACAGAGTGAGACTCCATCTCAAAAAACAAAAACAAACACCTAAGCATTTCCAATGATAGGCTAATATGAAAGTCTAAAATGAAAAGTTATTTAAAGAAATCTAGATCTTCATATTTAAAACCAAATAGAAACACTTTTGGAATATATTTACCAGCAGAATACTCAGATATGGCATTCTTATGTTTGAGACTTAGAAAAATAAGCATCTTGGCCAGGCACGGTGGCTCATGCCTGTAATCCCAGCACTTTGGGAGGCCAAGGCGGGCAGATCACAAGCTCAGGAGATCGAGACCATCCTCGCTAACACGGTGAAACCCCGTCTCCACTAAAAATACAAAAAAGTAGCCGGGCGTGGTGGCAGGCGCCTGTAGTCCCAGCTACTCGGGAGGCTGAGGCAGGAGAATGGCGTGAACCCAGGAGGCGGAGCTTGCAGTGAGCCGAGATCACGCCACTGCACTCCAGCCTGGGTGACAGAGCGAGACTCCATCTCAAAAAAAAAAGAAAGAAAAATAAGCATCTTTTCTCAGAGTGTCTTAGTAAGCTGCTGAAAAGGACAAAAGACTCTTAAAATGGTAATTTGCACAGTGTATTTGATTTAAGGTCTCTTTGAGTATTTTTGTACCCAATACAGAGGGTAACAGGAAATAGAATTAACTGAGAAAAAGCCCCTGCTGCATCTGTTGTGTGCCTAGTATCATTTTCAGATCACCAAGTCAGATTTAGGACACATTTAAAATGTGTGTATCAAAAATATTTAGCTCTCCGGATTGAAGTCTACTCTCCATCCATTCTCTGGGCAAATACTGACTGAGAACTTACTGTGTATAATGTAGTCTGGATCTGGGAAAGGAAATAAAGATGGGTAACAGTGGGTCCCCACCTCAGGTAGGTTTTCAGCTGCCCTCAAGAATCTTGGGATCCAGGGTTGTAGAATAAATACAATATTTTATTACATCAGTAAAAGTCATCTCCAAACTGTTATTTTTCTTTTATGTATCCAAGAAATGTCTTCTGCTTTTCAGAGCACCAGGACTGGTTAGACTTAATATTTTCATACCCTGGGCAACTGTAACAATTCTATTCCTCTTCATGGCCATTGGTAGGGGAATGCAAAATTTTTGCATCCAAGATTGCCACGGCGCCCCCTACATGCACACTGAACTCCTCATCTGCCCAGCTAGCTAATCCTGTGCCTTATGGGTTTGTAGTAGTTTTTATACTGGAAATCAGAGATCACAGGACTGGAAGGATCATGGAGTCTTACCTCATTTTAACAATGATGAGCAAAATGAGCGAGGTGTGGGGTATTTTTAAGTAACTCTTGCAGAGCGAGGTGAGTAGAAGAGCCAGTTCTCAAATGCAAGTGCTGAGGCCCTCCTTTGCTGTCTGTGGATTGACTTCTTTTCCTTTTATGTTGTTCTGGTTTTTAAAGGCAGCAGCCTCCTTGGAAAGACGAAAAGCATCCTGGGTTCAGGCTGACATCTGCACTTAACAGGTACATGGGTTGTTTCCTGGTAGGAGTAGATTTTAAAGCAATTTAACTGTCCTGATATTTTTTACATAGCATCCAGTTGCCAGAGTGTGTTTATGTAAGCTGTGTTGATATGACATGTTCAAAACAAAACCCACCATTTTTTGAGTGTCTACAGGGGAAAGTATAGAGCACACGAGGTCTGGGATGAGACTCCCAGGGTTTGCATCTTGCTGTATGACCTTGAGTAGATTTTTAAACTTCTGATTGCCTCAGTTTACTCATTTGAAAAATGGAGATAATGCTACCTAGATCATGGGTTGGTTGTGAGGGTTGAATAAGATAATACCTGGGAAGCATATGTGCTGAATAAACATCAGCTATTATCATGATCACTTTGGGCCAGACTCCAGGAGTAAGAGTTCTACCTCAGCCATTTTTTTTCAATCCTGACAACACCCTACAAGAATGAGTATTATTTTCCATTCTAAAAGGTTAAGTGACTTGTTTAAGGGCCTTAGCTAATAGGTGAAGGACTAGGATTTGAAAAAATGCAGCTGAGCATGGTGGCTCACGCCTATAGTCCCAACACTTTGGGAGGCTGAGGCCAGAGGATCGTGTGAGTCCAGCAGTTTGAGGCCAGCCTGGGCAAGATGGTGAGACCCTGTCTCTATGAAAAAAAAAAAGGCGTGGTGGCACGTGCCTGTGGTTCGAGCTACTCAGGAGGCTGAGGTGGGGAGGATCACCTAAGCCCAAGGAGGTTGAGGCTGCAGTGAGCCATGTTTGCGCCATTGCATTCCAGCCTGGGCAAGAGAGAGACGCTGTCTCAAAATAAAAAAGAAACCCGATGAATGGTGCAAAATTTTAAATATACTCAAACAGAAGAGTTATAAAAGGCCTGTGGTGCCCATCCTCAGCTTCACTCATTATCAGCATTCTGCCAGTCTCTCCAAACCTACCTCCCACCTCAGTCCCGTGACTGGCTAGTATAGTATTGTACCTTGAAATGTCTCCAGCAGTTTAAGGCCGACGAGAACCTTTTTTAAAAAACATAACCACAATGCCGCTATTACACTTAACAAAATTAAAAATAACTCCTTAATATAATTCAATGCCTGGTCGGTATTTAGATTTTCCCAGTTGGCTCTGCATTCGTTTGATATTCTCTTGAGTCTCTTTGAATCTGTAAAAAGAGGCTGGAATCTGAACCCAGGTCTCTCTGATCTCAGCGGCCACGCTCTTTCTGTTGCACTGTGGGTTCTGCCCTTGTCTGCCTCTTCCCTCCTCTGAAGCCACGTGGCTTCATAGCCACCTGAGGCTGTCACTGGAATGAACCACAAAGAAGCACTGTAGGCTAATGAAGTTGCTTACCGTAAAGTCCTTTCTATGGCCGACAGTTTGACCTTATGATGAGATAAATAGATAATCATCTCTTGCAACCAAAGCTGTGTAGACATTGAAGCTATCTGGGAGAATTTCAGAAATTTGCTATACATTAGTGGCTCCCACATTTTCTTTTAGGACTACTTTACAGCCTTAAAAAACATGGAGGCCTGGCGCAGTGGCTCATGCCTGTCATCCCAGCATTTTGGGAGGCCAAGGCGGGCGAATCACCTGAGGTCAGGAGTTCAAGACCAGCCTGGCCAACATGGTGAAACACCGTCTCTACTAAAAATACAGAAATTAGCCAGGCATGGTAGCGGGTTCCTGTAATCCCAGCTACTTGAGAGGCTGAGGCGAGAGAGTCGCTTGAACCCGGGAGGCAGAGGTTGCAGTGAACACCACTGTACTGCAGCCTGGGCGACAAGAGTGAAATTCCATCTCAAAAAGTAACACTAGTAAAATAAAATAAAATAGGCCAGGCACAGTGGCTCATGCCTGTAATCCCAGCACTTTGGGAGGCTGAGGCAGGTGGATCACCCGAGGTCGGGAGTTCGAGACCAGCCTGGCCAACATGGTGAAACCCCGTCTCTACTAAAAATACAAAAGTTAGCTGGGCATGGTGACGCACGTCTATAATCCCAGCTACACGGGAGGCTGAGGGAGAAGAATTTCTTGAACACGGGAGGCAGATGTTGCAGTGAGCCGAGATCACACCACTGCACTCCAGCCTGGGCAACAGAGCGAGACTCTGTCTCAGAAAAAAATAATAAAATAAAATAAAAAAAATATTGAGGCCCTCAAAGAGTATTTGTTTATGTGAGAATATCTATTGATATTAGAAATTAAACTGAGAGATTTTTTAAAGATACTAGTGAATTAAAAAAATAATAAGCCCATTACATGTTAACATAAATTATATCTTTTTGAAAAGAAACACAAAAAAAGTATTGAAAATAGTGACAATGTTCACCTTTTACAAATCCCTCCAAGGCAGCTGGGTGGTCTGTGCCTGCGCTCAGCGGTGGGGGCATCACACCTCACGTGGCCGCTGGGGAAGCCCGCCGTGCTTGGGAGAGAGCGAGAGTGAAAAAACAGAGGACACTTTACTATCATTTTGAGAATAGTCTTGATCTTACCTTCTCCCTGGAAGGGTTTTGCAAACCACTGCTCTAAGTGATCCTTTACTTAGAAACAGCTACTCTCAGGTGGAGAAAACCTAGTGCAGCCACAGGCTAAACTGGCCACAGCCAGCTTCCGAGCTGGGAAGAATAGGAAGCTCTTAGACGGAAGCCATGAATCCGAGGCCCACCTTGTTGAACTTGATCGCCATGCCATCAGCTTCAGCATATAAGGCTATATGAGTCTAAGTTAAAATATTCTGGAGTGTGGGCGATCCTCAGAGGCTGTTAATTGATATAAAGAACTTCAGGTAGGTCCTAACCCCTTATTTGATGGTTGATTATAAATCAGTTATTCTTGCCTTCTTTCCTGTTGGTAATATTCAACAAAGACTATTGCATTTTCACTAAGGAAAACGGATTTTCAGCCAGCCTCTCTCCTCCCCTCCTTAGGACCAATTCTGATTCTGCTCTTCACACGAGTGCTCTGAGTACCAAGCCCCAGGACCCCTATGGAGGAGGGGGCCAGTCGGCCTGGCCTGCCCCATACATGGGTAAGACACACAGGCCACTGCTGACAGCAGCTGTGCTTGCTCATTCTGTCCTAGGAACCAAGGGAGAGAGAAGCTGAAGTGGTGTTTGCGCTTCCCGGTTCAGTGATCTTAGAGAGGCAGCTCGTGGCAGGGAAGCGTGTGTGTCCATGATGCAGTCAGGATGGATGGAGCTCCCAGCGTCCCCTGCCTCTGCCCTGCTTCCTCCACAGCACGCTCTCCCTCTTGGTGTCTCTTGGCCCTCTTCTGGGCACCCGTCATCTTCTAATAACTTCCTGACTGGTCTCCTGATTTCCAGTCTCACATCCCTTCAATCCAGTTTTATGTTAAGTTCCCCAAGAGTCCTCTTTCCCCACCCAGGATCTGAACAAACTGAGAAATACAACTAGAAGTGACAGTCAGAGCTAGATATCACCTTTATTACTACTAAGACCAGGTTGGAGGAAGTGACTGTCTCTGTAGGTTGGTGGGCCTGCTGAGACTGAACCCCAGCATGAGGCTGACTCCCCCTGAGTGGCTGGCAGCACTGGCCAGTGTGGTCCCCTGGGAGGAGGGGTCAGGCAAGCCTCGGGGAGGGAGGGTGGAGCAGAGGCCTGCTGCCTTGAGATGGGGGAAGAGGAGGTCGGGCTGGAACTGTGCATCACCTGCTCAGTTGCCCCCTGGCCACTGTGAGTAAGGGGATGGAGAGAGGCCAGGAGTAACCCGGAGTGGGGAAGAGGCCCACTCATGCCATCTCACAGCTCTGCTTCCAGAGCGAACCCAAACCTGATCATCTTGCTCTCCCACTTAAAATCCTCAGTGCCACCCCTCACCTTCAGGAGAAAGAGCCCAGATCTTCTTTGGAATGACATGAGCCCCAAGGCCTGGCTCCTGTCTGCCTCTCTCCCTTTTCTCTCTGCTCCCCCGCCTCACACCCAAGGTAGCCATGCGAACCACTTTGGGTTCTACTGGTGTTTCTTCCTGTTCCTGTCTCTTCCTCTCTCTCTCACTCCTGGCCAGCACCCTCTCCATCCGTAAGCCTCAGCTTGTGTGTGTCCTCATGTCTGTGGAGCCATCCTTGACCTTCCTTCCTCTCAGCTCAGAGTTATCGTGTCCTTCTAACATCCCAGACTGCTCTCTTAGCACCTGCAATGCTTGGCTGCTTTTTTATGTGAACATGCATCTCTTTCTCTGCTCAGTGTAGATTTCTTGAAGGCAGCATCTTAATGGTCTTGTTCTCTCCAGCCCCTAGCACAGTGCCCGGCACAGAGGAGCCCGTACTGATGGAGAAGTGTGAAGAATCACACACTGGCTCACATGTGCACGGCATTTGCCAAAACACCCTCTCGGTGCTGGCACCTGACCTGTACATGAAGTGAGGCTGGTCATTCAGACACATTTCAAGCCTACCTTTCTGGGGTTTATAATCTAGAAAGAACAATGGTCTTGAATTATCCATTCCATATGCAGATTGACTCTTGCCCAGAAACTTTCAGGGCTGTGTATTTGTTCTTGAAACAGGAATAAATAAATCTTTAGCCAAGAAACCAGCTTTTCTGGTTTTCTTTGCTTTTTGGACAATTTAAAGCCTAAATGGCCTCTGTTCCTTCCAGGAGAACACTTATGATCGTATTTCTTTGTATATAGCAGGGATAGTACTGAATAATAATTGTTGCTATATTTGTTCTATTGGTGCAATTCAGAGAAGACTACATTTGCTTAAATGATTGTTTGCTTGTAAACTATGGGAGCTTTCAGAATTGGTTAGGGACATCTACCCATGCTTCCATACATGGGAATATGAAAGTTGGCAGTGATGTTGAAATTGATGTTGGAATTGGATATGGGTGCACTGCTCACTGCTTAGAGGAGTGGGGTGTGTGGGAAGAGGGATGAGTTTAGTTTCAGGATAGGTAGAGATGGGAATATGTAAACAAAGCCTAAAAAAAGCAGAGGCTGTAATCAGTGGGGGTGCCTGTGAGCACAGCAGGATCCTAATCTCCATGGACCGGGAGCCAGCTAGACAGACAGATTTTTACCCTGGAGCTCCTGCATTTCTGCCTCTGCCGATCCTTCATTTACATTACCCTCTGCAAAGTTTACACTTCTCTAGAAAGGGCCAAAGGCCTAGAGAAACAAGGCAATCACAGGTAATTCAAGTGAGGATTTTTTGAGGCTTGCATGCTAAGAAAAAGAAAGTAACTGAAGAAAGAAATTACCTGAGCTGAAGTATTCATTCTTAGCGATGTAGCCTCTGAGAGAAGAGGTGAGAAATGTCAGAAGGGGTAAGTGAGGATGGAATAAGAAAAGCAAAGGAATGTAAACATTGGTCCAGGTAGACAGAGCAATGAGAAAAACAGGAAGAAAGAAAGAAATCCTGGATCAGGGTTCCTGCGTTGACTTGAGAATCGTGGTGGTCTCTCCTTTTCAAATCAGCAGTTAGAAATTGTTGGGCTACAATATCTGACAACCATGGAGGGTGGGCTGGCCTCCAACTCAGATGTCTGAACTGTGTGCCTGCTCCTGCAGTTGCCTTGCAAGTATAGCAGAACTCAGAAACACATCCTAATATGGATGTGTTTACATGGGAAAGCCAGTGTTTAAAATATTATTCAAGTCTCCAAGGATGGAAATTATTTCTGGAGAATTATATTTGTTGGTGGGAGCTATTTTAAATAGTTTCATGTATTTTCCTCCTGTGTTTCATTAAAGTTTTTCATTTTCTTTCCTTTTGGATTTTAAAACTATCAACTGGCTTTGCAAAAAGGTATTTCTTATAGGACCAACCAAAGAAAGATTTAAACAGTGATGGGAAAATATAATTGAAGCCCAGAACTGGGTTCTATGTTCGAAGCAATAATAACTCTTCTTTCCCTGGGAATCTCTCCTAGGCAGAATGATGCAGCCACACTTTTTTGTTATTGTTGTTGCTGTTGCTGTGAGCCCATGAGGAGAGCATCTGCTCACGGCTTAACTACATGAGCAATAAACTATGATACATTCATGAGTGGAGATTTGTGTCACAAGAAGACAAAGCCTGATACATGTTGAGTAATTTTCATAATAGCTATTGAGTTCCATGACAATTAGGCATAAATGATAAGCAGTTGGTATAAATGACAGAAATAAATTTTTATGGAACCAAACAGGATTTTTATAATTTCTCTCTTTTTGTTTAATTATTCAGAATCTATAAAGAGGGAATGTTGGCCATTTCCCTGGCAGCATGTGCACCTTAATGACCATTTCACACTTACATGCAGATAGGGAAGCACAGGACTCTGTGGGACACGTGCCCTGTCCCATAGCCTAGGACTGTCTCCTAACACCCCTCCTGACATCGGGCATGTGGAGGAGGGACTGGGGTGGTCTCTTCCTTTCAGGGAACAGTCTAGAGCTAAGGGGAGCAGAGTGCGTAATAGGTGTCTTCTCTGCATCCAGGGCTGTAGATGCTGAATATTGCCATCTTTGGGGACCACAGTACTCAGCTCCTTAGCGTGGAGGGGGCTTGGCATGCCTTGGACCTGGTGACCTTTCACCTGCCAATAAGCTTTGACCTGCAGAGTTAAGGAGAAGGTTTACAATGCAAAGAACCTTGAAAGATGTAAGCCTGTTAATTGCATGGATTGGGCGGGGGTACAGTGGCAGGTACAAGCATCCCAGATCTGAAGAGGGGCAAAAAGAGTGTCACCCAGGGACAGGAGGGCCCAGAGTGGGGAGGCTGAAACACCAGAGGCCTCCTTTAGGACAATGGTTAAGGGGTCTTCCCCTTGCCTTCCCTTCTACTTAGCAAATCAAGGCTGTGTAGGGAGTTATTTTAGATTTGCCAGGCATGGGAGCACACAGAAGGAACATGGTCTCGGTTCCCTTAGTTAGAAGAGACCGGCCCTCGGTGGCTCTGAGGTTTCCTGGAACACAGTTGCAGCCTTGGTCATCGCTGTCCCATCCCTGTGGGACTGATAAAATTAGTGTCCTGTTTCCAGAGAGCCAGTCACAACTCATTCCTTTTTCTTTTTAACCCTTTATTTGTAGTGCTATCTTGTGGGTTTTTAATTTAGCAGTAAAAATCCAGGCTTGGATATTTTGATGATATGTTAGCTTGGTGCCAGTATATCAGTCATTGCCACCACCATCCTTCTGGTCACCGCAGCCCAGACCCTGAGAGTTGCATCTGATTACTCCCATTCCCATGCCCCTACGCCCATTCAGTAGCCGAGTCCTGTTCATTTTATCCCAGCAGTATGTCTCAAATCTGCCTCTGGTTTTCTGTCCTCACTGCCAGTATCCTACTTGGTTCCTGTTTGCCTTGGACTATTGCATTGGTTTTCTAGTCGGCCTCCCTGCCTTAAGGCTTTCTCCTTTCAATCCACCTCCTACTCTGCTGCAAGAGCAGTCTCTGAAGCTTAACTCTGATCATGTCACTTCTCCAACTGAAACCTTCCATCCCCTACATCCTGCCAAATGACCAGCAGCCTGCTTCGGTCCAGCCCATCTCCCAGTCCTCCCACCATGTGCTGCAGCCACACTCTTCCATCTTCCTTCTCCTTCTTATCCTTCCCCAACCACCCCCCACTCCTCCTCCTCCTCCTCCTCCTCCTCCTCCGCCTCCACCTCCTCCTCCTCCTCCGCCTCCTCCTCCGCCTCTGCCTCCTCCTCACACTGGGCATCCCCTTCAGCTTCGCTTCCGGTTGTCTAAATCTTCCAGGTACTACAGCAAATTGGTTAGGGACATGAACATTCTGAAGACACACGGGCCAGAGTTCTAGTCCCAGAACTTACTAGCAGTGTGATCTTGGGGATGATAATAGCATCTACGTCGCAGAGTTGCTGTGGGGATCCCATGAGATCACCTGTGTAAAGCGCCTGGCACATAGTAAGTGAGCAGTCAGGTTGGCTGTTGGTTATCCTCTTCTTCACCATTATCCTTCAATGAATGGCGCCTCAGGTGCCACCTACTCCATGAAGCCTTCCTTCTGTTCCAGTCTGAGGAGAGCATGCACTAATGGGGCTGTCACATGGGGTATCTGCCAGCCACTCAGGCAGTTTCACATGGTAGCCCTCAGTTGAGTCCTCATGTTTCAGGGACAGGTCAGGCTTAATAATTAAACCTCGAGTGACTGGTGTCTTGATGATGAAGAGATGCTTCAGCACGCCATACCAGATTGCTATATAAAACCTAGTTTTTAGTTTTTAACAGGATAGTCACTTTTTAGTAATCAGAATGAAGTTCCCTGCCCTTTCTTAATATGAGGGTCTCAGGAAAGCCAAAATAGGAATCCGCAACTCCTGTCCTTTTGACGTTGCTGGTTGTAGAGCCACAGCTTCCACAGCTTTTCTCTCTCTGCACCTCAGTGTTCACCTGTTCACACTGCCTGTCTTTTGATGGGTTAAATGGCTGATAAGTAAGAATGGGCCAAGGACCTTCTGCAATAGAGTCTCCTGAGACGACAATTAAAAATGTAGGCTGGGCGTGGTGGCTCACACCTGTAATCCCAGCACTTTGGGAGGCTGAGGCAGACAGATTACCTGAGGTCAGGAGGTTAAGACCAGCCTGGCCATCATGGTGAAACCCCGTCTCTACCAAAAAATAGAAAAATTAGCCGGGCCTGGTGGCACGCGCCTGTAATCCCAACTACTGGGGAGGCTGAGGCCCAGGAGGTGGAGGTTGCAGTGAGCCAAGGTCACGCCACCGCACTCCAGCCTGGGCAACAAAGTGAGACTCTGTCTCGGGAAAAAAAAAAAAAAAAAAAAAAAATGTAGATTCCTTGGCCGACTCTCACACCTTCTGAATCAAAATCTTTGAGGGTTGGGCCCAAGAATCTGCATTTTAGCAGGCTCACCCAAGGGCTCTTTATGTGCTGTAAAATAAAGCTTTCAGTCACTTACTTAGAGTCTGGTTCTGTGGGCCTGAAAGAAATTCTGTCTTTGTGTGTCTGCTTCATTTATCGACCTCTTCGTATTCCTGGGCACTCTTCCTGTTGCCCCTGGGCTCTGTTAAAATGTTATATCTTCTACCTGTGTTATAGAATGTGCTACCGTGTTACCCTGATCTGTCTTCTCACCTACACTGTATCACCCGGCCCCACCTAGCACTTAATGCAGAAACTTATTAAATATGGGTTGAGTGAATGGTTATTAGACATTTCATTCAAATTGTATAGACTAATCAGGTTAACCTATAGGTTAACCTTAGCCAAAAACTCATCTAAAATGTAAGTAAGCTATACTTAAAGGCTTAGAACTTTATAATAATGTATCCTGATTCTGTACTGAAAACTTATTTGGTATATTTGATTGCTCTTAAGGGAATGCTAAGATATTACATTCTTGGCACGGTTCTTTAGTTTTAGCTTAGAGCAATAGGAAATACTATGCTTTGTCATCTGCAGTATAATTTATGGATTAAAAATACTTCATTCAGCCAGAATTTATTCCAAGTCAAAGTTTTAAAACTTTGTGAATAGCTATCTCATGTACCCTTTAAATTAACTTAGACTCCAGATAAATCTTCTTCTTAAAATAACTTCACTGCATAAGAAATATATATAATATCCTACAGCATGAAACTTCGGATTTGTTCCTGTAGACACCCATGGTAAGTATCAAACAGTGATGTAGGCTTTTTGAGTTACCTGCTCTTAACCCCATGATGAAGCATTTGGAAGAGAATTTCCATCTATACTTCTTTACTTTGTGGTTTGAATAGAGATTCTCAGGCTTTGTAAAAATTGTTCTCCTCTCAGGACAGTGACAGTAAGAAAATTTCAGACAGACAATTTTAAAGGAAAAGAAAAAGGAACCAAATTTAGTTTCAAATTAGCTATACCTATTTTTAGTATAAATGATAAAGCACCTTAAATGAAAATCAGTGTATCAAAAGTGCCTTAGAATTTTCAAAATTCTATTTCAAATCATAAAGAGTTACTGATTCATAAATTCATGAAAATGAAAGTACCACATAAAAGTGTTTTCTTTTTTTCTTTTTCCTTTCCCGCTAGGTTTCTGTGATGGTGAGAATAATGGACATGGGGAAGGTATGAACTGATTTTACCTACCTATATTGGAGTGGGATGCTGATTAGTGGACATAACCTTTCAATACCTTTACTAATAAATATTCATGTTTTCAGGACTCCCCCAAATGCTGACAACTGCTGATTGGCTTACTTTTCAGAGAGCCTCTAGAAAATTAAGGCTAGCCATGTTCAGGGCCAGGAGAAAGGAAATATGTGGTTGCATTACAAAGGTTCCTTTTTATCTAGGTCCCCACAGTCACAAGGTTGAGCAAGGAACCAAAAATTGTAATCACATGAAAATATGAATGAATTGGCCTGGCACAGTGGCTCATGCCTGTAATCCCAGCACTTTGGGAGGCTGAGGTAGGTGGATCACTTGAAGTCAGGAGTTCGAGACCAGCCTGACCAACATGGTGAAACCCCGTCTCTACTAAAAATACAAAAATTAGCCGGGCGTGGTGGCACGTGCCTGTGGTCCCAGATACTCAGGAGGCTGAGGCAGGAGAATCGCTTGAACACGGGAGGCGGAGGTTACAGTGAGTTGAGATTGTGCCACTGCACTCCAGTCTGGCGACCGAGCGAGACTCCGTCTAAAAATAAATAAATAAATAAATAAATAAATTAATTAATTGATCACTTAAACAATTAGTTATTCCAGTAGTCTACCCATTTAGAACGTCTTCGTTGACAGATAACAATGCCAGGAAAATGCAAATTGGTTATGAAATGAAAATGCAAACCTTACATAAGATACTGAGTTTCGTAAAGCCAATTAAAACATTGTTGGAGATCTATGGAAATGACACTCAAAGCCATTGACAAATGAGGGTCAGACACAGTTCATTTATTTACTCAGTACCAGGGACTGTTTTCTTTTCTCTAAATCTTTATAATCTGGAATTTAATTTTTATAATCTAAAAATAAACAACTAAATTAGGTTTATATGTCACAGAGGTGAGACCCTAGGGGGGACATGATGAATGAGGAGCATCTTGCAAGACGCACAGCTCTCTGTCATCATCCTGCAGCTCCTTTTCTGGGCAAGCCCTTTTAGGCCATGAATAAAATCACAAAAAGGTAAAACATCAATAAACATCTAATCCACTAGAACAGAAATTAATAAATGGCTTCAAGGTTGACTGCATTCCTTCAGTGCTTCGAAGAATTCCCAACAAATCTTGGATATGAAAAGGGACTAAAAACAATGAACTCTAAGAAAACAGTCCCCATTAAGGCACTGGAGTCTGCCCCAACCATGTTCTTATAACCAACCTCTTGTGAGAAGTAGCCTTGAGCTGTGTGTGATGACACCTTACTCAGTCCTTCAAACTTTTCCCAGCATTTGACAGTACCTTTCAGGGCAATTTTTATTTATTTTTATTTATTTTTATTTTTATTTTTTTTTTGGAGACGGAGTCTCGCTCTGTCGCCAGGCTGGAGTGCAGTGGTGTGACCTCGGCTCACTGCAAACCTCCGCCTCCTGGGTTCAAGCGATTCTCCTGCCTCAGCCTCCCGAGTAGCTGGGACTACAGGCACCCACCACCACACCCAGCTAATTTTTTTTTTTGTATTTTTAGTAGAGATGGAATTTTGCCGCATTGTCCAGGCTGGTCTCAATGATTATCATTATATTAATGATTAAGTCAGGTAACATTTGAAGAAAAGAGAATCAACAAGGATGTTGACAAAATACGCTCTTCAAAAGAGAGTGATGTAAATATCAGGATTAAGAGAGACACCTGGGAACACTGACAAAGCATGGCCTGGTTTAGCAGAAATGACTGCTGCCCTGGTGGTACTGGACAGGTTGCCTGAAGAGCATTGTATCCTCCCCTTACCGTGCTGTCAAATAAGTTAGACCGCTACCCATACTTAATTCATTCTAGAAGTCCACAACTGCATTTATATCATCAGTTTTATTAAATACAAGATAAACTTATTTTAGAGTTTTTGTTTCAAAGTCTTTTCTCAAAATTTACTAGGAAAGTTTGGGCCCTGTGTCATGTGACTTCTTTCTGGGGTCCATTATTCTTGGGTACCCGGCCATCTTGTGTGGGGCTAAGACAGGATAGTCATGACAGTCACACTGGAGCTTCTGTGGCCACTGGAACTCAACAGCATTCCTGGTTCTGAGTAGTCACTGGTGTCCCTAACTTGGAATCCCCTTCCTGACATCAGATCACTTAACTCCTGAGGGCTGGCCCTTGTTTTCTGGTCTCTTTCTGAGAATAAAAAGTATTTACTTGTTCTGTGACCCAGCATTCTTGTTTTACCTGGCACGACTGAGAGAGTTAAAGCAGAAAGCCCTGGAATGGTCCCTTTATACAGGTTGTTTCATAGCATTAAAGAGCCAACAGCCGTCCCGGCAGCTGCCCAGCCTCAGATCCTCTTGGTTGTTGGTTCCTCTTTGTCCCCCATTTCCATCCCACAACCAAGGAGCTTCACTGCCACCATGTCTTCCAGCTAATACTCCTCTTCTCAATACTTTCCCCATTTCATCGTTGTTGCAGGTTCTCTCCTCATCCCTCTTCTTCCATTCTCTCCTTTGCCAAGCCTGCAGAGCCCCCCTGCCCTGGCCTCAATTGTCTACATTTTACTTCCTACCATCCCCTTGACTCAGCCTACACTCCAGTTGAAAAGAGTTGCTCCACTCTTACCTTCCCCTCTCTTGGAATTCCCTTCTCCTGTGTCTCTAAAGGGCTCCCCCCAGTGCCCAGCTCCAAAGCCCTCCTGGCCTCTTCCTCTTCTGCACTTCATCTCTCAGCAGCATCATACCCTCGGCTCTCTCGGGCTTCCACTCGTTTTTTCCTTCAGTGATCGTTATTTATGTGTTGCCCTTATCCACTGACTAGATTACACATTCGTGAAAGGTTGAATCCATGTCTTACTCATTTCTGCAACTCCCACAGTAGTGCCCAAAGTGGCTTCCCTAGTAGACAGTCCATAAATGAGTCATTTTTGTGTGTTAAATAAGTCAAACATTTTATTTGTTAAATCAGTTTTTACAAAGATAATTTGTTCAGCCAAAGGTAGGTAGGATGGATGCTTTCTCTTTTTGTTGTTGTCTTTGTTTTTTTGGGACAGGGTCTTGTTCTGTTGCCCAGCCTGGAGTGCAGTGGCACCGTCATGACTCAGTGCAGCCTCAGCCTCTCAGGCTCAAGGAGACCTCCCACCTCAGCCTCCCAAGTAGTTGGGACTACAGGTGTGAGCCGCCACACCCAGCTAATTTTTAAATTTTTTGTAGAGACGGGGGTCTCACTATGTTGCCCAGGCTTGTCTCAAACTCCTGGGCTCAAGCGATCCTCCTGCCTCAGCCCCATAAAGTGCTAGGATTATAGGCGTGAGCCACCGTGCCCGGCCTGGATTCCTGCCTTCTCATGCAATGACTGTGCTGCTTTTTTTTTCCCTTTAGTAGCATCTTTCCCTGGCCCATTGAAAGAAGAGAATCTGTTAAATGTTCCGAAGCCACTGCCAAAACAACTGTGGGAGACCAAGGAGGTGGGTGAACAGTACTCAGCTATGTTTGTTGTCACTGAATGTTTGTACTTAGAGGTCATTGAAAAATCCTGCAGAGGTGAAAGCAAGAGGAACTGGGGGAAAAGGAGAAGATTTGTCTGAGAACAGAGATAAGAATATACAAGGGAAGGACGTTTCAAGTAAAAATTATCGCGCTTGTGTCAATGAATTAGCACATTGATCTCTTGGCTTACTAATTTTCATATGAATTGACTTATTTAAAAAAAAAAAAAAAACCCTGCTAAGTCCTCCATATCTTATTTGTTTTGCTAAAAGCTCTGAAACCTGGTTGTAAGTCATAGGCAGATTTTTCTGTTTTTTTAGCCAGCACTTTATACCAGTCTCCAGCTTCTGTCCAGAATTACTGGTATACCAGATAGCTCTTTTTAACTCAAGGGCATTTGACCTGAGTCCTCCAAGAGTCAGTAGACAAGTCATCTGTTTTACTATGATTTCCATGCGCCTTTGAGAATTTGTATCTAAAATTGTGCTAGCTGACCTCCACCTCGGCTCTCTAAACCTCACCCACTGTGGAAGAAAGGGGAGGTCCCACGGTACTTGCCTTGGCCTTTCTTCCCAGAGGGAAGCTGTGTTGACTTTGAAAGAAAACAGTTAATCTGTTCCAGCCCTTAAGGATGCTCTATTGCAATTGTTTGTATTGCCTGTGTACTTAACTATCCCCACCTGTTTAGGATCCCTTTGGCCCAGTTCCATTTTCTTCTGCCAAGTCTACCAGAGTCACCATTAGCATTAGTTGTCTTAAAAGGCTTTTTGTAAAAGCAAGATGTATTTGATGTTTAATCATTTGGGAAGTAAAAAAGAGATATGATTTAAAATTTACATATTTAAACACAGGAGAAGCAACCACACTGTCTTTTGGCTGTGAGAGGCACATGTGGTTGTGGAGGCTTTTATCAGAGGATAACTATGTCTTCTCCACCAAAGAGGGCAGTGGTGTGCCCTCCTCCCTGAGTACCAGGGACTGGTCTCTGGAAAGAGATGTTCATCTCCCTTGGTTCTTGTGGATTTGTAATACTCATTCCTGTCCGTCTGGAGCTTATATTCTAGTTGAAATAGCTTAGTTTCTTCTGACATTCATTTCTTTTTTCACCCTGCTTTTTTCTTTTATTTATTTCATTTCCTCTCAAGCCAATTGGAAAAGAAATGTTTATTTAAAAGCTCTATGTCGTCCAGACCCAGTGGCTCATGCCTGTAATCCCAGCACTTTGGGAGGCCGAGGCGGGTGGATCACCTGAGGTCGGGAGTTTGAGACCAGCCTGGCCAACATGGTGAAACCCCGTCTCTACTAAAAATACAAAAATTAGCCGAGTGTGGTGGTGCATGCCTGTGATCCCAGCTACTCGGGAGGCTGAGGCAGGAGAATCGCTTGAACCCAGGAAGCGGAGGTTGCTGTGAGCTGAGATGTGCCACTGCCACTCCAGCCTGGATGACAAGAGTGAAACTCCGTAAAAAGCTCTATGTGTAAAACATTGGTCTTTTAATGTTAATCCAGAAGGTAAATTGATAAGGCATCAAATTAGGAAAATGTATTAATATTATGCCTCCCTTAGGCCTGGAAGTTTGAGTTTAAAAAAGTCATGCCAAAACCTAAAAGGCTGCTGTGTGAGGACTCTGTCGACACGCAAGCTCTCACTTGCGCCCACTAGAGCCTCAAGGTCCTTACGAAGACACTTTTCAAAAACTTGAATTTGGCTTTACAGCGAGTAAGCCCAGCTTTCATTGTCTCTTCTCAGATTCAGTCCCTGTCAGGACGCCCTCGATCCTGTGATGTTGGAGGTGGCAAGTAAGTAATATTCTTTCTGTTCGTGTTTCAGGGACTATCCTGAAGGTTTTTCCCAAAAGTCTCGCTGCTTTGTTACAGAACTCTCAGAAACGTAACTTGCTATGCATAAATTGAAAGTCAACTGCATTTTCATAAAAACAGCCACTCTCTTTTGATACTCATATTTCATCTGTTTAAACTAATTAAATTACATGACTATAATAACAAACAAAACTTACATAAGTATGTTTGAGAATCACACAACTGACTCTTGGTAAATACACAACTCTCCGGGTAGAAGCAGTGTCAGAAGCAGAAACGTGCAGGAATCGAGAGGAGCCTACCAGCCCCGAGCTGTGGCAGGCTGTGGGCATCGGTGACATCCTGGCCAGGGGAAAAGGGAAGCATCAGTTCACCTGGCAGCTTAATGGCACAGAAGTTAATTAAGAGAGTTTCTGTGAATGTACTTAATGTCACTGAACTGTACACACAGAAATGGTTAAAATGGTAAATTTTATGGTATATTTATTTTACAACAATTTAAAAACATAAATGGAAGATAAATATATTTTCCATTTGCAATACAAAAAAGTTTCTATGAAACCATTAATTTGTTAGTGGATTTAATAGTATGCAACTTCACTCCCTAAAAGGTTTGAGACAACTTACAAAAATATAGTACAAGCAAATGAAAAAGGAAGTTCATGAGGAAGTTGAGTCTAAGAGAGAACGAGGAGATGAGAGAGATAATGAGGCCCTTGCCTTAACAGAAACTGCCTTGGGAGGGCCGGCTGGTGTGCTGCGTGGGACGGTACAGACAGCTGCTGGGGAGGTTCACAGAGAGGACCCCTTGGAACTCGATGGGCTGTGTCCTGAGAGAGCCCCAAGGAGGCTTCCTGGGGCTGTTTATCATAGTGTCCGTGAGAGCAGTCCCACCACTTGGAACTGAAGCCAATTCAGAAACAGCAAGGCTGCAGGGCCAAAATAATGTGGTTTGGAAATGGGATTCTTGCATGATCTGACTTAGTACATACAATCACCAGTGGGTCAGTGGGTGAACTAAATCCACTTCAAGCAGTCATTGAATGTGATTTCCCCCAACAGAGCTTCCTGTGAGTATCTCACAGCAGCGCAGTCAAGGCACTCTCTACTGAGTACCTGGAGCTCAGACATTCTTTCTGGCAGGTTAAACGTAAACTCAGGTGATTTGCTGAGCTGCGCCACGGGTTGATGTTTGCTTCAGAAAGTGGGCAAGCCTGCCAGGACGCATGCCCAACAAAAGACAGGCCGCCGAGAGGTGCAGGACATTCCCATGGAAGGGGCAAGCTTTTCCTCAAGGGAGTCTCCCTCAACCTAGTCTGGTTCAGGGGCTTCCTGGTAAAATGGAAATTTGGAAACAAAAACAAAAACAAAAACAAACATTTTCCTCAAGAATCAATTTTGGCTTAACCATCAGATAACCTTCAGGCTCTGAAAGCCTAACATTATAGAATTGGGCTGCAGTACTTTAGCCCTCAAGAGGTTTTTGTTGTTGTTGTTTAGTTAGTTTGTTTGTATTTATTTATTTATTTGAGATGGAGTATCGCTCTGTCGCTCAGGCTGGAGTGCAGTGGCATGCTCTTGGCTCACAGCAACCTCTGCCTCCCAGGTTCAAGCGATTCTCCTACCTCAGCCTCCCAAGTAGCTGGAATTACAGACGTGCACCACCATACCTGGCTAATTTTTTTATTTATAGAAAAGATAGGGTTTCACCATATTGGCCAGGCTGGTCTTGAACTCCTGACCTCAGGTGATCCACCCACTTTGGCCTCCCAAAGTGCTAGGATTACAGGCATGAGCCACCATGCCCAGCCTGTTTTGTTTTTAAAGATAGATAGGGCCTTGCTATGTTGGCCAGGTTGGTCTTGAACTCCTAGTCTCAAGTGATCCTCCCAAAGCACTGGGATTACAGGTGTGAGCCACCATGCCTGGCCAACCTGGAGAGTTTTAAAGCAGGTGTTTCTTAGGTAGAGAAAGTTGCTTTCTTGCTCTTACTTTACAGATAGAATTCCATTCAGTGACTTCTAGTCATGCAGATATTTATTGACCCCCTAATTCTTGGCACTGGGTTAAACAATGAACAAAACAGATCAAGTTCCTGCTTTCGAGGAGCTAATAATCTAGTAGAGCAAGATGGGCAGAAACAAATAAGCAAAGCACAGCAAAAGTCATGTGTGGGTAAATGCACTGAAGGAGACGCAACTGTGGCAGGTGGACAGGCAGCCACCAGCGGGCGTTGAGGAAACCTTTCTGATAGTGTGAAGCGACGCAGAGAGGGCTCCAGGCAGCAGGAACAGCAAGTGCAAAGACCCCAAGGCAGGAGTGGGCCTGGAGTTCAAGGAGGCTTGTATTGCTTGGATCTGACGCAGAGAAGATGGGAGTCGTTAGAGGGTCTTGAACCGGGGGGCGCATTACTTTCCTTAGATCAGTGGTGACTCCGTTAGGTAGTAACTATATTTGGAAAGGAACCACCTGTATTTCTCCCAGCTGCAGAGGAATTGTGTGAACGTTACTAATGACCTGTTTCACAGTGGTCACATTTTTTCCATCCTTGCTCTGTGCTGTTGGACGCTTCTCCCTGCCGCGCCCCTGCTCTCTCTGCCTTCACTCCCACCTGATCACCCATGGATCTTTCTTCTCAGTCAGAAAGCCCATCTGCTGTCACGTTGAGGGCTCTGAGGTCTCAATTTTATTTTTCTAGTCCTTGATCTTTAACCCTATAAACAGTTCCATACTTCCAGCCATCTAAGACAAAATTCAGGCTGGGCGCAGTGGCTCATGCCTGTAATCGCAGCACTTTGGGAGGCTGAGGCAGGCCGATCACTTGAGGTCAGGAGTTCAAGACCAGCCTGGCCAACATGGCGAAACCCTGTCTCTACTAAAAATACAAAAATTTGCTGGGTATGGTAGTACATGCCTGTAATCCCAGCTACTCGGGAGGCTGAGGCAGGAGAATTGTTTGAACCCGGGAGGCAGAGGTTGCAGTGAGCCAAGATCGCACCACTGCACTCCAGCCTGGGCGACAGAGCAAGACTCTGTCTCAAAAAAACACAAAATAAAATAAAAAGACAAAATTTATATTCAGTTTTTCTACAACCAAAATGAGCCTTCTTCCTCACCCTCCGGTTGGACACCTCTCCTGCTGCCTCATTTCTTTCCAAAACTCCACAGTTCGCCCAGTCCTACTTTTACCAAGAAAAGTGAGGCGAGGCTGGCAGGAGTGAGTGCTCAGCTCTCTTCTGCCACTGATTCCCCCGTCACCACCCTTCTCTGGTCCTAGGGACACCGAGGTCCCTCCTAGTCAGGCCGGCCACTTTACCACTCCCTGGCCCTCCTCCCGCTGGATTTGTGGAGGCCTTTCTCTGCTAGTTAACTGTCCCTCATCTCCAGAATTCTCCGCCATGCTTTCTGAAAGCATATTTACTCTCAGGTGTTCCTTCCTGCTTACCCATCATCAGCCCACCATGCCCTGGCTGCCACCTCTGCTGTTCAGTGGAACCTTGAGAATGTCGGTTGCCTCCTGTACGTAACTGAGAGAGAAATATCCCTGCTGCATGTCTTCCTAGTGAGCAGAAACTCAAAGCCAAAATAGAATTCGTGATCTCATCCATACCCCTGCCCTCATTCCCAATCTGCTCACATCTTCAGTGTCCCCTGTCTCAGTGAGGGGCTCCACCAGTCCCCAGGCTAAAGGCCCCAGAGTTGTTCTTGAGTCCTACTTCCCTGTCTCTAGAGTCTAGCCTGCCTCTCCCTCCCTGCGCTCGTGGCCTCCTGCTGGAGCGTTCAGCAGAGTCATAGCGGCCTCTCCACCTCCAGGCCTGCTCCGTGCACCCCAAGACCCCTTCCCCAAGTCTGTTAGCCACGCTGTCCTAAGAAAAGCTGATACCTCTCCCCCACCACACTGCCCACCCCGCGTCCAGCCTTCCACTGGCGTCGTGTCAGCCTCTCATCAGTCCCAGCCTCGGGTGCTCTCTACCTGCTTTTCCACTTCCATCTCCCACCACTAACCAGCCCTCCTAAACTCAACCTCCCGTGGTCTGAATCCTCACAGTTCTGAGGGCACACCATGTGGTCTCACACCTCCCTGCTTTTGCGCATGCTGTGAGCTTTGCCTGAAATCTTTTTCCTGACTAGATCACCTGAGTTCTTTAGCCTTTAAACTAAGCTCAGATGTCCTCCAAGGAAGCCTCCCCAGGTCAGCTGGGCTTCCCTCCACATGGCCTCCCTCCAGGCTCTATCACTGCACTACTGAATTGTATTATGTTGCCGGTTATGCTCCTTATGGCTCAGTCTCTTGAAGCCCTGATGCCAGTGGCTGGCCCCTGGGAGGTGCTCTGCTGATGTGTGCAGGAGGGAATGAAGTGTCCTCAGGATTCGTGACTTCCCTCTGCTCCTGGCTGGTGGCACCTTCTCCCGCATTCTCCTCCGCGTCACCCTCACTGCTCTTTTCCTATATCACCCCTGGACCACTGCAGGTGGTCCTTCTAATTGGTTCTCCCTGCCTCTCCTTCTGCCTGCTGAGGCCATCCTCCACACTGGAACCACAGTGACATTTCTGAAACGCCATTCTCCAGCTTAACCTGGCCTCCCTCTTTCCACAGTCCCTGATCCAGACTCCTGAGAACAGCACATTCTCTCCCGCCTGCCTCTCCCTCCCCATGTGCCACCCTCCCTCCTCACCCTCTGCCCTGACACCTGACACCTCAGCCATGCCCAGCTACTCTTAATTCCACGCACACACTGTGTCACATCCATGGCAAACCCGTCCCCTCCACAGCCCATCCTGACATGGACAACTCCTGCTTTTTTGCTCCCGGTGTCACTTATATGCACTGGTTACACACACCCCTTCTCAAACCCAGCATAGCGCGCTTCCTGCCACGTTGCAGTTACTTGCTTTCCCAGGCTGTCTCTCCTGCCCATCTGTGAATTCCAAAACAAGGTCCTCTCAGACCTGGCTAGCAGGCCCCTCCCTGGGGCCCCGCCCTTGAGAGGGCTTCATTCCCAAAGGGAACGTACCACCAGTGTATACGCACTAGGCCTGGGGGGTGGCTAGAGAGTCAGCAGGGTGTGGACAGAGTTTGGCTGCATAGGCTGGGATAGCTATGTGCGTACTGCAGTACAGAACAGAACTAGGGGGAAGAGAAGGGGACGTGGACTGAGGGCCAGGCTGTCTCCCTGTGCATTCTGGCACAGAACTCCAAGAAGTCTGAGAATTCTACATGTAAATCTGGCTTCACAGGCTATTATGAAGGTATAATATGTCAGGATAGACACATAGAACAAAGTTCATGTAAGGGTTTGTTCATTTGATTTATAACTTTTAAAAATGGAAACAGATGGTATGCGGGCCTTCTTTTATACTCTTGCTCCAGGCCTGTACATTTCAGGAGTAGGCCTGACCCCGGCGGACACACTCGCCCTGCTTGTTCATCATGGTGCCGCCAACATGCGGCCCGCTGCCTGGCACACAGTGCCTAGCCCATAGATTGTGATGAATGAATGGCAACATCTCTTTGTCACTTTAAAGTTTATGAAGACTGTAATTTTAAAAATATATCTTGGAAGGTATATTGGAAGGTAGCTAGTTACTCAGAGATACTTTTTCTGGTAGCAAAGATAACTTAAAAATCTAGCAAAAAGAACTACATAAATAGCAGTGCCTCACATTTTATAGAGTGGTTTATAATTTTCAGAATACTTTTGCATCCATAATCTAATCTGGTCTTGATTATTCTAGACCCTAATCTAGTATTCCTGTAATGTGGGCACAGGTAGTGGGTGAGGATATGTGTTTCGGAGAGGTTAAGCCGAGCACCAGTGTTCTCAGAATCAGAGAGGCCGCACCAGGACCTCGGTCTTTTGTAGCCACTGCTCTTATTTGACAAGGAAAAGGTTTCAGCCATGTTTGGTTTCCCAACAGCCAAATACATTGTAGAAAGTCATTCTTAATCTTTCTTTTTTCAGTGCTTTTCCACATAATGGTCAAAACCTAGGCCTCTCACCCTTCTTGGGGACCTTGAACACTGGAGGGTCATTGCCAGATCTAACCAACCTCCACTACTCGACACCCCTGCCAGCCTCCCTGGACACCACCGACCACCACTTTGGCAGTATGAGTGTGGGGAATAGTGTGAACAACATCCCAGCTGCTATGACCCACCTGGGTATAAGAAGCTCCTCTGGTGAGTATCTCCTGCTTAGCAGTGACCTGGTGGCTTAATCATAGGTGGTCCCCACCCATGTGGCCTGTTCAGTGAATCATTGAATGAGAATGACTGCATCCCAGTTAGAGATGATAATGTACCTTCTTGTATCTCCTGACCCTGCGGACATTTTTCTTGGATGTTTCTGTTTCTCCTGGGTTGATGAATTTGGGGCAGCTCTGCTGAACCTCATTCCTTATCATCCTCACTCGCTGCTCTATCCAGGGACTTGGGGAATAAGATATGGGAGCCAAGAAATAAGCATCCACTCCGTGTTGGCTGAACAGTATTAGTGGCTGTCATCAACATATGATAATTTATAATTTAGGCCATCTCTCTGGATTCCTTTCATTTTCCATTAGATTTCTAAAGGCAATATTCTGCATTTTAGAAAATTTACAGTGGATATGATGAAAATATTTATACTTAATATCTGTGTGTGAAGTAGAAATCCCCCACAGTTCCAGTTAAAGATGTAGCATTAGCTATATAAAGATGCTACCCATAATGGGACTTGGGTGTTACTCTCTGGGTTTGATTGTCCACAGCTCAGACCCCATATTGAAATTATGACTACATTTGTTTGAAGCCTGACACTTTTTTTTTTTTTTTTTTGAGATGGGGTCTTACTCTGTCACCTAGGCTAGAGTGCAGTGGCACGATCTCAGCTCGCTGCAACCTCTGCTTCCCAGGTTCAAGCAATTCTTCTGCCTCAGCCTCCAGGGTAGCTGGGATTACAGGCATGTGCCACGATGCCGAGCTAATCGTTTTTGTATTTTTAGTAGAGACAGGGTTTCACCATGTTGGCCAGGCTGGTCTCGAACTCCTGACCTCAAGTGATCCACCCGCCTTGGCCTCCCAAAGTGCTGGGATTACAGGCGTGAGCCACCACTGACATACCCTTGTCAATGTCTAGGGCAGGTGATAATCCTCTTACTCCCAGTGGTGCAGTACAGCCCCTGGCCGTAACAGTCCTACCCAGAATTGTGTTGTGGAGCATTTCATTTGGAAGGGATGCTCAGTGATGGTCTCCAGGTGAAAGCAGTGTTTGCTGCCTTTCACTCTGAGACTCATCCATGCAAATCAGAACTCACCACCCAAATGAGAGTGGTCCCCTTCAGGGGGGGTCACCTGGAAGTTTTTCTAATGATTGCAGTGATGCTGCCTGGTGCAACACAATCTTAGGTTTGAAGAATTGATTTCAGAGAACACCTTTATTTTTGTTTTTTGGGTCATTTTAGTATCCTTAATAGTAGCAGGTTTTTCATCGACTGAGTCTCAGTTTTGATATTTATACATTTGCTTCATAGGAGAAATTTGATATTTGCTTCACAGGAGAAACTCTCGAAACCTTTATGCCCAGATTCAGAGTCTGGGCAATTCACCTTTTGGGTGAATCCTCAATGTATGAAGATATCTAGGGTCCCAGAAGTAAAGCAGCATCAGCACATAGCTCCTTTGGGTCTCAGGGAAGCTGGCATTTTCCAGTACAGCCTTTGACACTTTGCTTCAAGCTGAAGATCTTATGTTTAGTCACTGGTTGTCTTCTCAAAAAAGCACTATTTTATCCAGAACATGTCAGAACCAATGTCAGTTTCTGTATTTTCTTTTTTTTTTTTCTTTTTGAGACAGACTCTTGCTGTGTCGCCCAGGCTGGAGTGCAGTGGCGCCATCTCGGCTCACTGCAAGCTCTGCCTCCTAGGTTCACGCCATTCTCCTGCCTCAGCCTCCCCAGTAGCTGGGACTACAGGCACCTGCCACCACGCCCGGCTAATTTTTTTAGTAGAGACGGGGTTTCACCTTGTTAGCCAGGATGGTCTTGATCTCCTGACCTCATGATCCACCCGCCTCGGCCTCCCAAAGTGCCGGGATTACAGGCGTGAGCCACGCCCAGCCGGCAAAATTATTTTTAAGAATTTTAGGCTGGGTGCGGTGGCTCACTCCTGTAATCCCGGCACTTTGGGAGGCCGAGGCGAGTGGATCACGAGGTCAGGAGATCGAGACCATCCTGGCTAACACGGTGAAACCCCATCTCTACTAAAATTACAAAAAATTAACCAGGCGTGGCGGCACATGCCTGTAGTCCCAGCTACTTGGGAGGCTGAGGCAGGAGAATGGCGTGAACCCGGGAGACGGAGCTTGCAGTGAGCTGAGATCATGTCACTGCACTCCAGCCTGGGTGACAGAGCGAGACTCTGTCTCAAAAAAAATAATAATAATAATAGTGATAATAATAATTTTGCCAGCTGCTGGATTTTTGTCATTTCTTCCTTTTCGTAACTTTTATCAAACACTTAAATTTTTTGTCAACACGAAACAACACATAGTTCTGCTTACCCCACCTGCTGGTACAAGAAAGATGGGCTGAAGGTTAAAACGTAGGTATTGCCAGTTGAGATACACACAGCAGCAGCAGCCGAATAATTGATTCACTGGGCGAACCTGCTCCATGCCAGGCCCTGTGCCAGGTGCTGAGGATCCAGCAGGGCATAGGACAGGATCCCCAGTTTCTGGGAGCTCATGCCCTAGCAGCCTATGCTGCAAAGATCTCTCTCCCAAATTTCCTTGCTCATGATCAAATTCACCCCTGTCCCCCAAATAAAGCACCAGCAAAAACTTCCTTTTCCCTGAGTTGGTATAGACTGTGATGAACAATTTCCTGGGAACCAGAAAATCAAAGAGGGACCCTGGGGTGGGAGATACAGGGAAGTGTCCCTTCCTGTGACTCCCTAGTGTGCTAAGGGTAATTAAAGACCACCAAGACAGCTCCCCAAGGGCCATGACTCGCCGTGGAAGGATGTTCTCCAAAGGTAGCAGGGGATGCAGGCAGTGTGCTTGGGACAGAGACCTTCCGGGGCTCTAAACAGAATTTGTTGTACAGCCCTAGGGTCCTTTCCCTGGGTCTGGGCCGAGCACCTGGAATATTTGCCTCTGTTACCCCGGTTTACCTAGTTTTGCTCACCTAGGGGTTGTTGACGTGATCTCCCTCCTCATGGGAAAACATCGTTGTCATCTTTGTGGCCCCATCTCTGTTAGTGCAGGGGCATCTTTTCCTTGCCATTGGTGCATCGGATGCAGTCCCTGTAGGAGAGCTGTCCAGGAGCTCCTTTACCTACAGAATCATCATCGCATGTGACAGTAGACAGTTTTCTTTCATTTTTGGAATACAAAAGATTTGGTCTGAAATTATAAGTAACTTGTGAATTTGTTGTCTTCCAGGTCTCCAGAGTTCTCGGAGTAACCCCTCCATCCAAGCCACGCTCAATAAGACTGTGCTTTCCTCTTCCTTAAATAACCACCCACAGACATCTGTTCCCAACGCATCTGCTCTTCACCCTTCGCTCCGTCTGTTTTCCCTTAGCAACCCATCTCTTTCCACCACAAACCTGAGCGGCCCGTCTCGGCGTCGGCAGCCTCCCGTCAGCCCTCTCACGCTTTCTCCTGGCCCTGAAGCACATCAAGGTTTCAGCAGACAGCTGTCTTCAACCAGCCCACTGGCCCCATATCCTACCTCCCAGGTAAACACACACAGACAGACCAACCACTACAGTGAAACAGACTGCAAGATATAGGAAGTGCATTCCTCCTCTTTACTATTTTGGGTTACACTCATTATTACACCAAGCACCCATGAGGTCTCAAGTGCAGTCTGTTCGCTCTTATATGTGAAATCAGAGCAGAAGTGTCAATAATGCAGAATGAATTCATGATTTTCTTTTCTTTTTTTGAGAAAGGGTCTCACTCTGTTGCCCAGGCTGGAGTGCAGTGGCACAATCGCGGCTCACTGCAGCCTCACCTCCCGGGCTCAAGCGATCTTCTCACCTTAGTCTTCGGAGTAGCTGGGACCACAGGCATGCACCACCATACCTGACTAATTTTTTGATTTTTTTGTAGAGACAAGTTCTCGATATGTTGCCCAAGCTGGTCTCAAATGCCTGGACTCAAGCCATCCTCCCAGCGTGGCCTCCCAAAGTGCTGGGATTACAGGCATGAGCCACTGCACCCAGCCTAATTAATGATTTTTTATTATAATAATAGCAGATTTGCTGTGTTGATTACTCTTTAAGCAAATGTTGAACAATCTGTAGTCACTAACTCACAAACTTGGGGTTGAGAGGAACGGTAGGATATAGAGAATGCCATCCAGGTAAGTCTAAGGCAACTGAGGGAAACCAGGTTAGGATTTCAAAGTTGGCATGGAAAATCAGTCATTGACTCTCTAAGTACATTAAGCCATAGGGGAAAGCCAAAGAAAACATTTAATACCTTCCTGAAGCTTTGATAATGAATTAGACCTCTTCCCTAATTGTCTACAGATTTGAGAAACAATACTTTTATTGTTCATGAAATGCTAAGTATGTTGAGGATTATATCTCTTATAAGGATGAAAAGAAGTCTGTTG
The DNA here is from genome assembly GCF_000001405.40 of Homo sapiens. Taxonomy (NCBI): domain Eukaryota; kingdom Metazoa; phylum Chordata; class Mammalia; order Primates; family Hominidae; genus Homo; species Homo sapiens. The sequence continues at coordinate 90,630,417 of NC_000015.10, forward strand.
AGAAAGAGGCACATTTAAAAGTCACCCACCCATACAAAAAATGGAAAAATTAGCTGGGTGTGGTGGCACACGCCTGTAGTCCCAGCTACTCCAGAGCGGAGGTGGGAGGCTCACTTGAGCCCAGGAGGTCGAGGCTGCAGTGAGCCAAGATAGCCTCACTGCACTGTAGCCTGGCAACAGAGTGAGACCCTGTCTCAAAAGAAAAGAAAAGCCCATTATAGAAACACAGGGGTTGAAACATCCTATAAATTCTAAACTCAGAGGTGGTTCTCCTTATACCATAATCATCGAGGAATGTGTTTTCAACCTTTTGTCACATCCTCTGTCTATTACAGCATCATTTTTTTTTTTTTTTTTTTTTTTTTTTTTTTTGAGACGGAGTCTCGCTCTGTCGCCCAGGTCGGACTGCGGACTGCAGTGGCGCAATCTCGGCTCACTGCAAGCTCCGCTTCCCGGGTTCACGCCATTCTCCTGCCTCAGCCTCCCGAGTAGCTGGGACTACAGGCGCCCGCCACCGTGCCCGGCTAATTTTTTGTATTTTTAGTAGAGACGGGGTTTCACCTTGTTAGCCAGGATGGTCTCGATCTCCTGACCTCATGATCCACCCGCCTCGGCCTCCCAAAGTGCTGGGATTACAGGCGTGAGCCACCGCGCCCGGCCTATTACAGCATCATTAACTACTCACCACCTCGCCATAAATTAATGATTTAGAAGGAAGAGTTGACAGAACACAACGGAGAGTTAGAGGATCTTGTTATTGGTCACTCTTTACCAATTACTAGCCGTGGCGTGTTGATCGTATGAGTGATCTCTTTTGGGCGAGGGTGAGAGGACATTTCATAATTTTTAAGTCTCACTCTGTCGCCCAAGCTGGAGCACAATGGCACGATCGCGGCTCCCTTGCCTTGAATTCCTGGGCCCAAGTGATCCTCCTGCCTCAGCTGGGATTCTTCAAGTAAATGTGACTACAGGCCCATGTCACCACACCCAGCTAATTTTTTTAATTTTTTTGTAGAAACAGGGTCTCCCTGGGCTGGGTGTGTGCCTCACACCTGTAATCCAGCACTTTGGGAGTCCAAGGCAGACGGATCACTTGAGGGTAGGAGTTTGAGTCCAGCCTGGTTAACATGACGAAACCCCATCTCTACTAAAAATACAAAAATTAACCGGGCATGGTGGCACACGCCTGTAATCCCACCTACTCAGGATGCTGCGACGTGAGAATTGCTTGCACCCTGGAGGTGGAAGTTTGCAGTGAGCCAGGATTGCACCACTGCACTCCAGCCTGGGTGACAGAGTTACTCTGTCTCAAAAAAAAAAAAAAATTAGAATTAAAAAAAGAAAAGAAAGAAATAGGGTCTCCCTATGTTTTCCAGGCTGGTCTTAAACTCCTGAGCTCAAGTGATCCTCGCACCTCAGCCTCCCAAAGGGCTGGAATTAGCCAGTGTGCCTTGTGCCAGGCATGAGCCACTGTGCCCTGCCATAATTTTTATTTTTTTTTAGAGACAGCGTTTCACTCTGTCACCCAGGCTCGAGTGCAGTGGCGCGATCACAGCTCACTGCAGCCTTGAACTCCCTGAGCTCAGGTGATCCTCCCACCTTAACCTCCCAAGCACATAGGACTACAGGTGTATACCATCACACCCGACTAATTTTTGTATTTTTTTTTTTTTGTAGAGATGGGGTTTCACCATATTGCCCAGGCTAGTCCATAATTATTGTTTTCGTGGTTCTTATGTTATTGAATTACCTTTAATTTTATTTTGCAAGATTATTTTATAAGATCTAAAAGTATTCTTGCTTTTTAGCTACATTTTAAGGAGACTGTATGGCCAGAGTGTCCCCTTTCAGATGTGTTTTTAATTTGTTTAATATTTAGATTTTTTTTAAATGAATGTTGCTGGACACAGTTGTTCTGACTGTAATCCCAGCTACTCAGGAGGCAGAGACTGGAGGATTGCTTAAGGCCCGGAGTTCAAGACCAGCCTTGGCAACATAGTGACACCCTATCTATCTCTTAAAAAAAGGAAATTTTAAAAAGTGAATGTTATTCATGCACATAGTTTAAAAAGTAAAATAGTTCTAAAGGGCTTGTTATAGAAAAACAGCTGTCTTTCCCTCTCGTTAGGCATATTCCTCACTGCCTAGAGATGGCTGTCAACCATTTTAACTAATCTCTTTGGTATAACCATGTTATTATTATTTTGAGACAGAGTCTTGCTCTGTCACCCAGGCTGGGGTGTAGTGGTGCGATCTCAACTCACTGAAACCTCCACCTCCCAGGTTCAAGCGATTTTCCTGCCTCAGCTTCCTAAGTAGCTGGGACTACAGGCATGTGCCACGACGCCTGGCTACTTTTTGTATTTTTAGTAGATACAGGGTTTTACCATGTTAGCCAGGCTGGTTTCGAACTCCTGACCTCAGGCAGTCTGCCCGCCTCGGCGTCCCAAAGTGCTGGATTACAGGCATGAGCCACCTCACCCAGCCTAACCATGTTGTTTTATGCTTTTTTTGTTCTACATTTTTGGTGTTAGGCATTATCTAATGACATCCTACCAATGAAGATTAGAATTTAATTCTCTTTCCACTCTCCCACAGACTCCACCACACACATATGTGCGCACATGTGCACACACAATTTCCTACCCACCCTCCTCATTTATTATAATTTTGGTTAGAGCAATACTCAATATTTAGTGTTTTTATAGTTACAATGTAGTCAGAGTTGACATATAGTATACTATGAAACAAGAAAATGAGAATTTTTTTTCCTCTTGGGAGTTAATAAATGTCTGACTTTTTTTATTAGCCTGGTTATCTATATGTATCTATGTGTATGACTAATTCAGTCCCCAACTCTTGGAGTTGGGCAGATCTCCTCTCGACACATTCAAAACTAAATTCTCTAGTAGCTCTATAGCAAAGAGTGCCTGTGACTTTGTATGACTTAAAATGTCTTTATTTGATCTGCCATTTAATTATTATTTGGCTGAATATAGAATTCTAAATTTGAAATAATTTTCCCTTGGCATCTATTGCCTATTCATTTGTAAGTTGCATTGAGAAATCCAGTGCCATTCGGACTCTTAACACTTTGCATGGAATCCCCCTGCTCCACCCCAGGCTTGTGAGATCTTTTTGTCCCCAGTGTTCTGAAACTTCAAGATGATGTGGCTTGGCGTGAGTCTGCATATTTGGTGGGTTCCTTCAATCTGGAAACTCACAGCCTTCATTTCTGGGAAATGTTCTTTATTTCTTCAATGATTTCTTCCCTTCAGTTTTCTCTGTTCTTTCTCTCTGGAACTCTACGAATGTTGACTATCCTGGACTTTTCCTCTATTATCCTTATCTTCTCTCTCTCCTCTTTTGCTTCTCTGTGGTTGCTTCCTTGTTTGTTTGTTTTGCTTTGCTTTCTGGAAGATTGTCTCAGCTTTATCTTCCAACACTTCTGTTGAGTTTTCCATTTCTGCTCTCATTTTTAAATTGCTATGAGTTCTTTTTTGTTCTCTGAGTGTTCTTTTTTAATAGCATCATACTTATTCCACAGATGCAATATCATCTTTTATCTCTCAGGTTTTTAGTGGTCTTTTTTTTTCGAATTTATCTTTATTTTCTATAATAGAATTTTCCTAAATTGCATAAAAGTAGAGAACATAATACAATAAGTCCTCCTATACCCATCATTTACCCTCAACAATTAATTTTTTTTTTTTGAGACAGGGTCTTGCTCTGTTGCCCAGGCTGGAGTGCAGTGGTGTGATCTCGGCTCATTGTAACCTCCGCCATCCAGGTTCAAACCATTCTCCTGGCCTCAGCCTCCCGAATAGCTGGGACTACAGGTGCACACCACCACACCTGGCTAATTTTTGTAATTTTTAGTAGAGACGGGATTTCACCATGTTGGCCAGGCTGGTTTCAAACTCCTGACCTCAGGTGATCCACCCACCTCAGCCTCCCAAAGTCTGAGATTACAGGCGTGAGCCAGCACGCCAGCCTTGTTATCTTGTTTCATCCATACCCTGCTTTTAAAAATTGCAGATATTTTAATATGTATCTCTAATAGATAAGGATTTTCTTAGTAGCCTAAATATTGTCATGCTGATTTTGGTTTTTCACAACTACTTCTTCCTGCACACATCTTTCCAAGATTGTGTGTGTCTGCTCTGGCCTCTGACTTTCACGGCAGATGGTTTCCTCAGGGCCTGGTGATCCTCAGTGCTCTGCTCATGTTTAAGAACAGGACACTGAGGGGCTGTCTCCTTGCGGCTCTACACTAGAGCGGAGTATGAGACTGAGGCGAAGGGAGTCATGGCAGGACAAGCGTGTAGAAAGTTTTTTCCACTCTCTGACTGAGTATTGGTTGGAAGGAGCGCTGCTAAAACTGTAACCAAAGGAGGCATTTTGCTTCCAGAAAAATCTCAAGGAAAAGTATTGCAAGCAACAGTAGTCACTGTTGGATCGGGTTCTAAAGGTAAGGCTGGAGAGATTCAACCAGTTAGCGTGAAAGTTGGAGATAAAGTTCTTCTCCCAGAATATGGAGGCACCAAAGTAGTTCTAGATGACAAGGATTATTTCCTATTTAGAGATGGTGACATTCTTGGAAAGTACATAGACTGAAATAAGTCACTACTGAAATGGCATCAGTGTGAAGCTGCCCATTCCACTGAAGTTCTGAAATCTTTCATCATGTAAATAATTTCCATATTTCTTATAATAAACTAATGATAACTAATGACATCCAGTGTCTCCAAAATTGTTTCCTTGTACTGATATAAACATTTCCAAATAAAAATATGTAAATGAGAAAAAAAAAAGGACACTGAGAAGCTGGCTGGCAGCTCTGTGTATGTGGGCAGGCCTGCTGAGTGTGGTCTTCATTGTAGAATGATCTAGCTTGGTCATTTCCTTGGGAAACTCCTGGTGTCATAAGTTTTACATTCTTCTCTGGCCAGGCGTGGTGGCTCACACCTGTAATCTCAGCACTTTGGGAGGCCGAGGCGGGTGGATCACCTGAGGTCAGGAGTTCGAGACCAGCCTGGCCAACATGGTGAAACCCCGTCTCTACTAAAAATACAAAAATTAGCCAGGCGTGTTAGCATGCTCCTGTAATCTCAGCTACTCGGGAGACTGAGGCAGGAGAATTGCTTGAACCCAGGAGGTGGAGGTTGCAGTGAGCCAAGGTCATGCCACTGCACTCCAGCTTGGGTGACAGAGCAAGACTCTGTCTCCAGAAAAACTCTGTCTCCAGAAAAAAAGATTTTCTCTCTTCAGGCCTTGTCAGGTTCCCTAAAGGACACTCTTCCAATGTCGCACCTCGGCATATCAGGATTCCGGCATCCTGTGAGCCGGGTTGGGAAAGAAAGGTGGAGATCTTAAGATTCGATCGTGAAATTTCTTCTAAAGAATAAAATACCTAGGAATCCAACTTATAAGGGATGTGAAGGACCTCTTCAAGGAGAACTACAAACCACTGCTCAATGAAATAAAAGAGGATACAAACAAATGGAAGAACATTCCATGCTCATGGGTAGGAAGAATCAATATTGTGAAAATGGCCATACTGCCCAAGGTAATTTATAGATTCAATGCCATCCCCATCAAGCTACCAATGACTTTCTTCACAGAATTGGAAAAAACTACTTTAAAGTTCATATGGAACCGAAAAAGAGCCCACATTGCCAAGTCAATCCTAAGCCAAAAGAACAAAGCTGGAGGCATCATGCTACCTGACTTCAAACTATACTACAAGGCTACAGTAACCAAAACAGCATGGTACTGGTACCAAAACAGAGATATAGACCAATGGAACAGAACAGAGCCCTCAGATATAATGCCACATATCTACAACCATCTGATCTTTGACAAACCTGACAAAAACAAGAAATGGGGAAAGGATTCCCTATTTAATAAATGGTGCTGGGAAAACTGGCTAGCCATACGTAGAAAGCTGAAACTGGATCCCTTCCTTACACCTTATACAAAAATTAATTCAAGATGGATTAAAGACTTAAATGTTAGACCTAAAACCATAAAAACCCTAGAAGAAAACCTAGGCAATACCATTCAGGACATAGGCATGGGCAAGGACTTCATGTCTAAAACACCAAAAGCAATGGCAACAAAAGCCAAAATTAACAAATGGGATCTAATTAAACTAAAGAGCTTCTGCACAGCAAAAGAAACTACCATCAGAGTGAACAGGCAAACTACAGAATGGGAGAAAATTTTTGCAATCTACTCATCTGACAAAGGGCTAATATCCAGAATCTACAAAGAACTCAAATTTACAAGAAAAAAACAAACAACCCCATCAAAAAGTGGGCGAAGGATATGAACAGACACTCTTCAAAAGAAGACATTTATGCAGCTAAAAGACACATGAAAAAATGCTCATCATCACTGGCCATCAGAGAAATGCAAATCAAAACCACAATGAGGTACCATCTCACACCAGTTAGAATGGCAATCATTAAAAAGTCAGGAAACAACAGGTGCTGGAGAGGATGTGGAGAAATAGGAACACTTTTACACTGTTGGTGGGACTGTAAACTAGTTCAACCATTGTGGAAGTCAGTGTGGCGATTCCTTAGGGATCTTGAACTAGAAATACCATTTGACCCAGCCATCCCATTACTGGGTATATACCCAAAGGATTATAAATCATGCTGCTATAAAAACACATGCACACATATGTTTATTGCAGCACTATTCACAATAGCAAAGACTTGGAACCAAGCCAGATGTCCAACAACGATAGACTGGATTAAGAAAATGTGGCACATATACACCATGGAATACTATGCAGCCATAAAAAATGATGAGTTCATGTCCTTTGTAGGGACATGGATGAAGCTGGAAACCATCATTCTCAGCAAACTGTCGCAAGGACAAAAAACCAAACACCACATATTCTCACTCATAGGTGGGAATTGAACAATGAGAACACATGGACACAGGAAGGGGAACATCACACACCGGGGCCTGTTGTGGGATGCGGGGAAGGGGGAGGGATAGCATTGGGAGATATACCTAACGTAAATGACGAGTTAATGGGTGTAGCACACCAACATGGCACGTGTATACATATGTAACAAACCTGCATGTTGTGCACATGTACCCTAGAACTTAAAAAAATAAAATATTAAAGAAAAAGAAATTTCTTCTAAACCCTGTGTTTTCAGTAAAGTGCCTCACCTTCTAATATCCAGAGACCCTTAGTTTTATTATCTCGAAAGTAGAACCTTCCAGTCTCCTGGCAGGTGGCAGGATGGTGGGGGCCAGTGCGCAGAAGCACACTCAAGGCAAGGGCTCTGCAGGTCCAACTGCCCCTTACACAAACTGTGACCAGAATCTCCTGGTTTTAGCTTCACCGCCTGCTCCCTGCTGTCCCCAGTCCCAGAGCCCTGTGGGGACTGAGTGCTGTCAGTGAGATTGCCTCCTGGTTTTTCCTCACTGCCAGCCTAGCATCGGGTTTTCTCAGCTCTGCTAAGCCAGCTGCCACCGGGCCATCTGCTGCTCATTTTCCAGCTTTTGTTGCCATTTTCTTCTCTCCCGTTATCTTTGTCCTCGTGTTGTTTGTTATCATTTAGTGTTCTGTGCTGTTGTTTAGTGTTTTTTATTAATGCTTATTGCTTGTTAATGTTGTAGTGTCTTGTTTTAACAGGATTTGGGGATGACAGAGCTAAGGGCCTTTTTCAATTTTCCACTTTTAACCAGAAGACACGGCTATAAAACAAAACAAAACATGATTTTCACGGAGAAAACTGAAAGGAAATTGGTTAAATTGGCTGTTTTCTTGTTTAGTTCTTTTAAGACAATAGAACTTGTCATTGAATGGAACATGCTTTGTGGGGAAGTAAAATTTGAGATATACTTTGAAGGATGAGAAACGGGCTTCTCACAGCATTGCACAGAACACCGCGGTGAGGAAAATCTCAGGCTTCCTCTCACTCTGACATTTCCTAATCCTAAAGGACTTAACGCCAGAAACGCAGAAGCTCATTAGTGGCTTTGTGTGTTTGTTTTGCAGATGGTGTCCTCAGACCGAAGCCAACTTTCCTTTCTGCCCACAGAAGCTCAAGCCCAGGTGTCGCCGCCACCCCCTTACCCTGCACCCCAGGAGCTCACCCAGCCCCTCCTGCAGCAGCCCCGCGCCCCTGAGGCCCCTGCCCAGCAGCCCCAGGCAGCCTCCTCACTGCCACAGTCAGACTTTCAGCTTCTCCCGGCCCAGGTGAGTTCTGGCAGGAGCGTTGGTGCAGAGGGAATGCTTGTTTTGCTCTGAGTTCCAAGCTAAATGATCATCTCCTTATTCCCTGAAGGGCTCATCTTTGACCAACTTCTTCCCAGATGTGGGTTTTGACCAGCAGTCCATGAGGCCAGGCCCTGCCTTTCCTCAACAGGTGGGTGATCGCCCCTGCCTTCTCCTCCCTTGGTGCATAAACTGTACCATTTAGGTTGTTCATTCTGTAGAATTCAGAACTGAGCAGACCAGACATGCCACTTTCCTGGTTCTGGTTGTGTTCTGTGGCTAGAAGAGCCTTTCATCTTCTTTGGCCCTAAAATGCTTTCTCTGGCTGCCTTATTTAGTATCAGGCTTCAGCAGAGGAACTATTGGAACAATCGGCAGGAGACTTTTGATGACACTCTCGTTGTAGAACTGTAAAATCATGAACACTGGAAGGGACACAGCACCTGCCTCCTCAGCGCCCTCATGTTGAAACTGAGGCATAGGGAGAGTGGCGCCTGCTCCCACCGCAGAGTCAGAAGGTGGCGCCGCATTTGGCCTGCACCCAGGCTGGTGCACCCAGCACAGCGTGGGGCCTCCTGGGGAGAGCTCAGTCCTGGGGAGTGAGGGGAGTGCGTTCCGTAAGGTATTTTCAACTCGGCCACTTTCTTTTACAGTTTAGTTTTTTCCTAACATTGACTATTTTTAATATTCTAGATTTTATAGTATTCAATAGTATTCAATAAGTATGGACTGGGCCCTCCGATGGATTAAGGAGTGGAAGAAGGGTTGAACAGGTTCCAGAACTTTTTTTTTTTTTTTTTTTTGAGACAGAATCTTAATCTGTCGCCTAGGCTGGAGTGCAGTGGCGTGATCTCGGCTTACTGCAACCTCCACCTCCTGGGTTCAAGTGATTCTCATGTCTCAGACTCCTGAGTAATTGGGGTTACAGGCATGTACCCCTACACCTGGCTAAATTTTATATTTTTAGTAGAGATGGGGTTTCACTTTGTTGACCAGGCTAATCTTGAACTCCGGACCTCAAGTGATCCACCCGCCTTGGCCTCCCAAAGTGCTGGGATTACAGGTGCGAGCCACTGTGCCCAGCCAAGAACTTAATAAAATAGCTGGGCATAGTGGCTCACGCCTGTAATCCCAGCAGTTTGGGAGGCCGAGGCGGGCGGATCATGAGGTCAGGAGATCGAGACCATCCTGGCTAACACGGTGAAACCTTGTCTCTACTAAAAAATACAAAAAAATTAGCTGGGCGTGGTGGCAGGCACCTGTAGTCCCAGCTACTCGGGAGGCTGAGGCAGGAGAATGGCGTGAAGCCGGGAGGCGGAGCTTGCAGTGAGCTGAGATCGCACCACTGCACTTCAGTCTGGACAACAAAGCAAGACTCTGTCTCAAAATAAGTAAATAAAATAATAATAATAAAATAAATTAAGATAGCTGTTTCCTAAGCAGGCCACAGATGAAGCTTTGTGGCAAGAACCAATCCTCCTTGCCTCCCTGTTTCCCAAAGAGCCATTTTAGTCTAGGTGGGAATCACCGTCTCCCTGAAAAATGATAGACACTTCTTTTGAGACTTTTTTTAAAATGGCTTAGAAAATTAATTTCAGGAAAGGAACCTAAAATTGGCACTGGTTATAACCAGTCCTCATAGAGGCTTTCTCATAGGGAGGAGCTTGCCTGAGTTTCCTCCTTCTGAGTGTGAAAAGGAAAGCCTTCCCCTTTCTCAGTTTTCTAGAAACCAGGGAAGAGGCCAGGTGCAGTGGCTCACACCCATAATCCCAGCACTTTGGGAGGCCAAGGCCAGTGGCTTACTTGAACTCAGGAGTTTGAGACCAGCCTGGGTAAAATACAGCAAGACCCTGTCTCTAAAAAAAATACAAAAATTAGCCAGGCATGGTGGCATGTGGTCCCAGCTATTTGGGAGGCTAAGGTGGACGGATTGCTTGAGCCTGGGAGCTGGAGGTTTCAGTGAGCCGAGATGGCGCCATTGCACTCCAGCCTGGGCAACAGAGACCCTATCTTTAAAAAAAAAAAGAAGAAAGAAACCAAGGAAGAAGAGTCCATACTTCCTTGGTTATAGACAGAGCCTTTGAAGGGTTCCCACAGAAGGCAGTTTGCAAAGGCCTTGGTGAGGCTGAGGACAGATGTCTGAGGGGCCACAGAAACCATGAGCATTGGTGTCTCTTGGGATGGTGTAGTGGGCTGGGGAAAAGTCACCACGCTGTGGACCTCAGGGACCCCTCCTCCACCCCAGCGTCTGCCTGCCTGACAAGAATATTGTGCATGCATTACCATAAGAGCAAAGCACTCTGGGATCCTGGAAAGAAGGGAATATGGATTAGTTTGCAAGTCAGGTTTTGCTCTGGGAGCACATTGCAATACTCACTTCCTCCTTGGAAACAGAGGTGTGGCCTTCCTCACATGACCTTCGATGCTTCCAGGTGCCTCTGGTGCAACAAGGTTCCCGAGAACTGCAGGACTCTTTTCATTTGAGACCAAGCCCGTATTCCAACTGCGGGAGTCTCCCGAACACCATCCTGCCAGGTGAGCGAGCTATCCCTCAGCTTCTTTACTGCTTTTATGTTGTTGTGTGTTCAGGAACCTTCATAAGAGAGTTTAAACAACATAATATTATATAAAGCAAAAAGTTAACGTTCCCTGGGTCGACTTGACTTTTTGAGATGCAGGTGTCCAGCCTCAGAGACCGTGACACAGGGCGGTGGGCCTGGTAGTCAAAGCCTTTTCTGAAAGATTTCATCTGGCCCAGTGCGGTGGCTCACGCCTGTAATCCCAGCACTTTGGGAGGCCGAGGTGGGCGGATCATCAGGTCAGGAGATCGAGACCATTCTGGCTAACACAGCGAAACCCCGTCTCTACTAAAAAATACAAAAAAAATTAGCTGGGCATGGCGGCGGGCGCCTGTGGTCTCAGCTACTCGGGAGGCTGAGGCAGAATGGCACCAACCCAGGAGGTGGAGCTTGCAGTGAGCCGAGATTGTGCCACTGTACTCCAGCCTGGGCAACAGTCTCCAAAAAAAAAAAAAGATTTCATCTTAGGTGACTGATGACTGTTCAAAAGGAAAAAACCTGCAAAAATTGGGAGTTGTGCAACTGACTGACAAGAATGTAGATTCCAGGGCAAGAACTGTGGGCCTGGGGGTGGTCAGGATGTGTGGGATAGCAGTTTAGGGGACTGTCATCAGCTGGGTTTGCTTAGTAGCCTGGAGCCTTCGCGCCTCCTAACCGCACTGTTTTCCCCTCTGGCCACTCCTTTCAGAAGACTCCAGCACCAGCCTGTTCAAAGACCTCAACAGTGCGCTGGCAGGCCTGCCTGAGGTCAGCCTGAACGTGGACACTCCATTTCCACTGGAAGAGGAGCTGCAGATTGAACCCCTGAGCCTGGACGGACTCAACATGTTAAGTGACTCCAGCATGGGCCTGCTGGACCCCTCTGTTGAAGAGACGTTTCGAGCTGACAGACTGTGAACAGAAGGCAGTGGAACAGAAGAATGTTTTTCTGCAACAGCCAAAATAGAATGGAATAGAATGAAGCCAGCTGATACCACGGGCTTTCGTTATCTTGACATAGAAGGAAGCAATGCCACGGCTCCAGGGTTTCAGATGAGATCCCATCTCAGACACTGTGGCTTCCTCCAGATCACACAGCTTTGTACTGCCTCTCCCGCCTGTGGCCAAAGTCGTGTTGCAGCAGGCAGGCTGCTTGGAGCTTCCCATGAACTGGAAAGCTCACCTCCACTGCATCTTTTTACTGGCCATCCAGTCAGCCGATGTGTAAGAGTAGGAAATACTGTGTCACTGGAGGCCTCCGTAGCATTGTGTAGTGTGCTCAGAACCACTGATCTCCGTCCGCACCGAAGGCGGGCCCGGAGTGGGAGGCTCGGCCTGGGGCGGCGGCACCGGAGAGGGCACCTCGATGCCTGCTCTGACCTGACCCAGAGGGCGAGGCCCTCCAGCGGGGGACATTCCCAGGCTGAGTGGACCCCACGGCTCTCTCCCACGCCTGGATTACGACATGAAGTTTTTACCACAAGCCCGAGGGCAGGCTTGAGTTAGGCAGACTGAAGGCTAATTTTCATTTTCTCCCAGCTGGTTTCTGCTGCTTCAGAAAAGTACACCTTTTCCTTATGGACCAGAGGAAGAGGAAGACCATTTTATCAGTCACTGAAAAGAGTCCCCTGGCACTGATGAGCCTGAAGAGAACTGTGCTCCTCCTCGGGGGCTGGGGAAGGAAGACAGGGACTGCAGGTGTCTCATACTCAGTGGCCTCCAGACAAACTCCAGACAAGCACAGACCTCCCCACTAAGAGCAGCCAGAGGGAGCTGGTGAGGCCCTAACCCCACCCACCGAGCAACTGAGCTTCCCCATCCCTCCCCAGAGCTGTGTCTCTGTGGGCTGGGAGTCTAATGTCACCCCCCTAGACCGTAAGCTCCTTGAGGGCAGGGACAGTGCCTTATCATTGTTGAACCCGTAGCACCTAACACGTGCGTGGCAGCACAGTCGTGTGCTGGAGTGAGTGCTGCAGAACCGTGCGTGCAGCGCATGATGAATGAGTGCGTCCGCCATGCCGTAAGGCAGGCTCACCTGTAGCTATCCCCTTCCCTGCCAGATCTTCTCAGAGCTTTAGCTTTTCTAGCACTCGTGCCTATGGTGAAGCATGCACTTTAATATGCTTTTAACACTAGGTGACCAAATCACAGTGAAGCCGGGCACTGCATTCTCCTTGGGCTGTGCTCCACGCGGGTGGGTGGGAGCTGTCTTCTGAGTACATCCGGAAGGGCTGAGCAGGTGAGTGCCCTGAGCATCCTGGCTGGGCCCCACCCAGGAAGATCTTCCTTCTCAGATCCACGTTTGGCTCTAAATTGCTTCAAGTAGAGATTCATTCTTTGAGGTTGAAAAAATAGTTTATAGTAAAACGAAGGCCTAATTCATGGAAGCATCATTAGTCATCAATACCTTCTCATAAAATAGATGGGCCAGATTTCCACCACCGCCTGCCTCCTCTAACTTGGGTGATGCCAGTAGGTTTGAAGGGGGCAGAGCACTGCAGGGGGAGGGGGGGGTCTAGGCTGTGAGAGGACAGGGTGGAGAGGAGGAGAACCCTGAAGGAGAGACGGAAGATGCCAGGACCTTTGCTTGGACAGCCATTGCCCTTCCAGGAGACCCTGGAGTGTACTGAGGGTTGCTGGACTGTTCCACCCAGAGGAGCAAGGCTGTACAATGAGGGTCTGAATCTGGCACACCTGTCCCTTATGTAAAAGGAGTCGTGGTCACAAGACCCTGGGCTGGTTAGCCTCTCCCGACCTCATTCCATTTCTATCTTCTGACCTTGCCTCTCATCTTTAAAATAACCCTCATGGGGTGCCCCTCCACCTTCCTCTGGAATCCAAGTATTCCTGTTTCACATTTGCCCCAAATCTTTGCTGTGGAATTGGGAAATCAAACCAGAGTCCTCCTCGCCTGATTTCCAGCTCAGGAAGGGCCTGCTGGCCTGCCCTGTTCCCAGTTACACTTTCAGATCCCTTTGTGCTCAAGATCTCAGAGGGGGTGGCTTTTTGTTAAAGAGCCTTCAGTCGCAATGCTACCCAGCACCCCATGTGCCAAAAGAAACCAGCTCCTGTGTCAAAGGGCTTCCAAACCTGATCTCACTCTCAACAGGCGATGGTGCTGATGTTTCAAGAATTGTGTTTTTATAAAACAGAGGTCTCAGCATAGTCACTCTTCACATAGTGCCTTACCCATGGGTATCGTCATATCCGGGTCCCAGTTCAGTTTGTCTGCACAGCAGCCACCCTGCCTGGCAACAGAGACCCCAAGACCTACACAGTGAACCCTACTGCCCCAAAGGCGTTCTCCAGGTGACTTGTGAAAACAGACCTCCGGGGAAGTGATTTATTGGGGGTGTACACTGGGGGCAATATGGTTTAGCACTGAATTCAATTTGTCCTTAGGTCTATGAGTGAGTCCGATCTTTTCTTGTGAAAGGTTTTGGGCATCGTACAACCCACTCTGCCTAGAAGGTGTGGAGGACTCACCACGGGCAGGGTCGCCCTGGCCCACAGCACGTGAGCCTGCACTCACTGCGGCCTTTGTAACAAAACCAGTTGTGGTCCTCAGCATTTGAAGCAGCTGCATACTTCAGAGTAAACTATTTTTCATTATTTAGTTTTGTCACAAGAAATCGACCATTGTACTACTCTCACTTACAGCAGTTAAACAGCATAGAACTAAAAACCTGTCTGCATTTCCATTTTTTCTTTCTGTATGGTTGTGGGTTTTAGGACATAGGGGGTTAGGAGAAGGGGTTTCTTGATCATGTCATGAATTCTCCTTTGTCCTGTTTCTCCTGTTTCATTTCTCCTCCGCCTGCTGTATATTACCTGAGCTGGTGTTGTATCTTCAAGTCCATATGCGTATTTGCAGACCTTTCCTGTTCCCACTCTTGTTGGCTCTTCTGATTTATGCACAGATGGTTCCCAGCATGTGTCCAGTGCTTCATGGATGGGACCATCCCAGCAACTAATCAGACTTCCTGCCAGTGTCCTAACCCCCAGGGCACCCTGTTCAACCATATTTAAAAATTGGAATTTGTATAAAGTTGCTTCCAAGTTTTATAATGCATCATTTTACATCTTTTGTAATTAAAAGCATCACAATGAGGTTGTCTCTGCATTTGGTGGTGTTTTTCTTCACTTGGGTGAGGGGTTGGTGGGGAGCCTTAATCTCACCGCCTCCTGCACGGCTCAGCCTGCAGCTAGGATTTGGAGCCTTGGCAAGGCAGGCCCTGTACCAGCTGTGGGTCAGGCCTTCTTGTGATACGTGAAGGGGCACTCAGTTCCCTTAGCTGGAGGCAGCTGGGTCTCCTGCCCCCACAGCCAGCACCCGCTCCACACCCCTGCCCACGGCCCTTCCTCCACCAGATACTCTGTCCTGGGTTGGCCTCTAGCCCTGTCCCTTCCCCAGACCCCCATCCCAGCAGGGTTCAACGCGAACAGCCACATCTAGCACTTGTCATAAAGGTGACTGTCTCCTGAAATCCTACCTGGAAATCCTGTTTCTGACTTTAACTTCCTGAGCCCCCATTTCCACTCTGGTCTACACACACCCTGTTCTTTGACCGCACTGAGAATTCTTCCGTGTCCCCTCTTCTCAGCCTGCCCGTCCTCTCCTAGCTTCCCTTGCTTCTGCCCGGGCCCACCTGGCTCGTGGCCTCCGTGGCACCCCCAGGCCCCTTCTCCTGCCACCACGCCACTCTTCCTCCTCAAGACCTGCCACCACGTCACTCGGGCTGAGCTTTCTGTTGCTGGGAGCCCTGCGGGAAGAACCAGCACTTCCAGGCTGTGCTGACCCAGCCCTCTCCTGCCACGTGGGGCACCCACGCCCTCCTCTCCTCAAGGCTCATCAGACCACATGAGGCCTTCTTGCCTCCCATCCAGGCCACCTGGGCCAGCTCCCGCCGTGTCCCAGCTGCTCCCCATTCCGTCCCATGGCCCGTCGCGCCTTCCCCAGCGTCCCTATGCCTTACGAGGTCCTGTTTCCACGTCAACCTGACCTTCCGCAAGGACTTGCTGATGTTCTAGGGCCTTCTACTTAGCCCTCTCTGATGGCACCTCCCCATCAGCCTGTGAAGATGCCCAGTCTCCTTCCTCAGAACAAACAGAAAACTCTCCTTTCCCCGCCGGCTACCCCTCATGCCACAGCCCTGTGTCCTGCCTCTCCTGGAGGAGCACTCCTGCTCAGCCTCCTTCTGCCCGCAGCCCCAGGGAGCCCTCCAGGATTCCCTACTCTCCTGCCTCTGTCCAAGGCCCTCTGATGTCAGCCGCATCCTGACCCTTTGGCCACTCTCTCCCCTCCGAAATCCTCTCTGGCTCCAGTAAGGCTTTTCTGCATATTCTACCACCCAGGCCATGCCTGTCTCCTATCATCCTCCCCCTCCACCATCATCTTCTTTCCATCGACCTCCCAAACCAACTTCTCCAGCCCTCCAAGCAGACGACCCTCATACTTAGCCCTCTCCCCACCTGCCTATCAGCCAGTGCTCATGCCCACCCCACCCCTTGTTTTCTGGAGATCCGGGTCCACCTGCAATTGACATCCAGCTTCCCCACAGGGCTCCAAACTCTGCAAGCACAGGGGCATGTTTACTTGTATGCCACTTCCCCAGCACCTGGCACACAGTAGGGGCTCGAAAAATCCGCAAATTCTTCCGAACTGTTGACAGCAGCTTCCTTCTCTTGGAGCTCAGCCCCCATCACCGCCATGGAGCTGGAGACCAGGTGTCCTCCAAACACCTCCTCTTCCTCACCTCTCCTCCTCCTGCACACCCCAACTCCTCCACACCCACTCCCCCTCTACAATCCTCCTCCTCCTCAACCCTCCTCCTCACCCCTCCTCCTCCACAATCCTCCTCTTATTCCACACCCCTCCTCCTCCAACCCCTCCTCCAAAGCCCTCCTTCTCCTCCACACCCCTCCAAATTCCACAGCCCTCCTCCACCTCTACACCCACTGCTCCTCCACAATCCTCCTCCACACCCCTCCTCCTCCACAATCCTCCTCCACACCCCTCCTCCTCAATCCTCCTCCACACCCCTCCTCCTCAATCCTCCTCCACACCCCTCCTCCTCCACAATCCTCCTCCACACCCCTCCTCCTCCACAATCCTCCTCCACACCCCTCCTCCTCAATCCTCCTCCACACCCCTCCTCCTCCACAATCCTCCTCCACACCCCTCCCCCTCACCCCTTCTCCTCCACCACACCCCTCCTCCTCCACACCCCTCCTCCGCCTCACACCTCCCTCACCCCTCCTCCTCCACACCCCTCCTCATCCTCCACACCCCTCCTCCGCCTCACCCCCCTCCTCCTCACCCCTTCTCCTCTCCACATCCCTCCTCCTCAACCCTCCTGCTCCACATCCCTCCCCCTTCACACCCCTCCCCCTCCCCCTTCACACCCCTCCTCATCCTCCACACCCCTCCTCCTCACCCCTCCTCCTCCTCACCCCTCCTCCTCCACACCCCTCCTTCTCCTCACCCCTCCTCCTGTGCCATCTTTTCAAACACAGGATACTTTAATCTTGAAAAGTACTGAATTTGTATACTTGTTTTGAAATACTAAATTTTCGATCTGGAAGGAATGATTTTAGATCTTATTTTGGGCCAGGCACAGTGGCTCATGACTGTAATCCCAGCACTTTGGGAGGCTGAAGCCGGAGGATCACCTGAGGTCAGGAGTTCGAGACCAGCCTAGACAACATGGTGAAACCCCATCTCTACCAAAAATACAAAAATTATCCGGGTGGGCGTCTGTCATTCCAGCTACTGGGGAGGCTGAGGCAGGAGAATTGCTTGAACCCAGCAGGCAGAGGTTGCAGTGAGCAGAGATCACACCACTGCACTCCAACCTGGGTGACAGAGCGAGACTCTGTCTCAAAAAAAATTAAAAATAAAAATAAAAAAAGATCTTTTTGGTCCATTTTACCTAATAAAGCTGTATGGTAGGCAGGTATGGAAATTGGGGTTTACAATAAACCAGCTATATGCTGCTATGTCCTCATGTGGACACTAGGTGGAGCTGCAACTATAAGAGTGGCTCTTAGGACCCAGAACAGGACAGAGAGCCCCGGACCCCCTCAACTTTAGCCCTTGAACTGGGCTGGCAGTGGTGTTGGCTAGAATTGAATTGTATGATATGGAGTAATAAGTATCCTTAGTGACCACCCAGACTACCAGACACTGCACCGTCAGAAGCATTCAAACCAGAGTGACTCCATCTTGAACAGGGGCTGTGGGTAAAATGAGGCTGAGACCTGCTGGGCTGCATTCCCCGGAGGTTAGGCATTCAAAGTCACAGGAGGAGACAGGAGATAGGCACAAGATACAGATCACAAAGATCACACTGATAAAACAGGATGCAATAAAGAAACTGCCAGAACCCGCCAAAACCAAGATGATGACGAAAGTGACCTCTGGTTGTCCTCACTGTTCATTATTCACTAACTATAATACATTAGTTGCTAAAAGACACTCCCAGCAGCGCGTGACAGTTCACAAGTGCCATGGCAACGTACGGAAATTACCCTATATGGTCGAAAAGGAAGAGGAACCCTCAGTTCCAGGAAATTCCCACCCCATTCCTGGAAAACTCATAAATAATCCACTCCTTATTTACCGTATGATCAAGAAATAACCATAAGTCTACTGAGTCGAGCAGCCCGTGCTGCTGGGGTAGCCCCTTTTTTATTCATTTACTTTCTTAATAAACTTGCTATCACTTTGTCAGCTTACTTTTGAATTCCTGCATGAAGCCAGGAATCCATGTGGCCTCCCAGGCTGAACCCTGTGACAGCACCACACACATCCCTCACATCAACCTGAAAACGAGGCAGGGCATGGAGGACTTCTTTTTTTTTTTTTTTTTTTTTTCCGAGACAGAGTCTCGTTCCGTCGCCCAGGCTGGAGTGCAGTGGTGTGATCTTCGCTCACTGCAACCTCCGCCTCCCGCGTTCAAGTGATTCTCCTGCCTCAGCCTCCCGAGTAGCTGGGATTACAGGCATGTGCCAGCACACCTGGCTGATTTTTGTATTTTTCGTAGAGATAGCGTTTCACCATGTTGGCCAGGCTGGTCTCAAACTCTTGACCTCGGGTGATCCACCTGCCTCGGCCTCCCAAAGTGCCGGGATTACAGGCGTGAACCACTGCCCCTAGCCAAGGATGACTTCTTGAGTTTACAGAAGAGGAAACAGGCCCATAGAGGCTCTGTCACCCAACTAAACAGTGAAGGCACAAAGCCTGGACCCAGTGGGCCTCACATCAAGGCCTCCTGACCTCACCAGCCCAGAACCCAGGGCTCCAAAGTGCATCCTTCAGGATCTGCTCACAAGTTTCCCTCCCCTGTGCACCCCCGGCCCCCGACTACGCCCATCACCAGGGTGAGGGGTGCGGAAATGAATCGCACCCTTCACCCTGCAGAGGTGGGCTCTGAGCAGCCCCTCTGGGAAGGGTCCCCACGGATCCCAGTGAGATAGAAGCCTGGCAAAGGAACACGTGTTTTTTTTTTCTCTCTCTCTTTTCCAGACATGTATTTTAATTTTTTAAAAAAGCTTTGCTCTGATAAAAATAGTGCATGCTCATTATAAGAAATTCAAGTAACACCGAAGAGTACCAAAAACAAAAATTTCAAGTGGTCCGGAAATCCAGCACCCCAGAAATAATCATGGCTGACACCCAGGAAACATGGATGGAGACATCTCTCTACGCACATATTCAAAGGAGTTTTTTTAACCAAAATGGGCTCATACAATACATACTCTTTTTAGAAAAAGTGCCATACTTAAATTTAACAGAACAAAA
This sequence comes from Homo sapiens, assembly GCF_000001405.40. NCBI lineage: Eukaryota > Metazoa > Chordata > Mammalia > Primates > Hominidae > Homo > Homo sapiens. The sequence continues at coordinate 90,650,026 of NC_000015.10, forward strand.
GGCAACTTAAATGTAACTAAAGAAATTACCAAGCTGCAAATAATGACGCTGCTTCTTCTGGTTCTAAATTATTTCTCTAAAGGAAAGAAAAATATTAAGCAGCTGGATTCATTCTTTCAGCATGTTTCAACTATAGATGGCATCTCTTGACAACCTACGATTTAGGATAAGGAAATGAGCTCACCACCACTTCCTAGCTCCTTCCCCCTCCCAAATTTTGTGAGTTCGTGTTTTTACATTGTCAAGGTTTATACTACTTACATCCTGTCCTGTAACCATCGTTCCCACCATTGTTTGGCCTGTTGTGTGTGTATGGATTCCCTGTTCCACCGCCTGTCCTTCTAGAATGGGTTTTTCCATTCTTGGGTTATTTTCCTTCACCTCATGGCTACCTTGACTTTGTCATCAAGGAGTCTTTTCAAGGTCTGAGTTGGTCACAGTCACAGGGATGTCACTGCTGGACTGCAAGGTTGGAGACTGAACTCTGAAATGGGAGTGAGTGGGCTATATAACTGACTCAGGCTCGATGGAATTTACAGGAAAGGGACAAAGCACTGTACCCTCCATTACGATGACTTGCTAAAAACCACTGTGTCTTGAACTTGTATCTGGTGACACAGAGTTGAAGTTTTAGAATTTGGAAATAAAATGACTGGGGTGGGGTCCCAAGTACTGTGTTCAAGGAAAGGACATGCCAGGCTGCGGGACCTCAATGCCTCCTCCCCATCAACCCTTTGACAGCTGTGCCCTATCCCACCTTGGAGGCCAAAGCAACTCCCTCCTGGGTGCTAATGCGTCATGTTGACTTCTGATTAACCCCACTTCCAGGAATGCCTTTAAGATTTCTACTTTTATCTACTGTTAAGAGCACACACTTACTGTAAATATGTTATTATAAACACTGTAAATCTGTATCATAAAACTGTGGTGCTGTAAACACTATAAATATGTTATCATAACCCTATGGTATATATGCCCTGGGTCTCGGGGGGGCAACAATGTGGGGATCCACCATCTCCTGGCTGCCCGAGACATGGCTTTTGTTTCTAAGTCCCTATTAAATGTTCCTAAGCAACTGGATTTGTCAGCCTCTGTGTTCAGCCTCTCAGCTCCCTCGGCCTTTGGGATTAGGTTTGCATACACCTGCTCACCGTGCAACACCCATCTTCACTTAGAAAAATCTAACTTCTCCTTCCAGGCCTAGGTCAAGTGACACCTCCTCTGTGAAGCCTTCTGTGAGGTTTGGATTCTCATTTGCAAATATTTACTTCCCTCCCCTCCTACTGTGGGATCTCTAGGCTCTACCCCCCCATTTTTAAAAAGATTTCCCATCCGTCTAGGTGTCTCCCATCTACTTGACCCCCAAGCCCAGAAAACAGGCACCCGCAGACCTAATGGCAGGCCTTGCCAGCTGCCCCCAAGCCCCTTTGCCCTCGGGCTCGGCTACGTGATTTGCTTTGGCCGGTGACATGCTGGAGATACGACCAAACAGCAAAGCCTTGACATGGGGTCAGGAGGCCTTGGAGCCCGGCCCACTGGGTTCAGGCCCTTGCACCTTGACATGGGCTCGGTGACACGGCTCACCCTCTTGTGCTTCTGCCATTGCCACTAGCACAGCTACTCCCTGGGTAGCCCATTGGTCCCAGAAGAATGAGAGACAGGACAGACCTTAACCAAACCCATGCCCAGGAGCCATCTAGCCAGGTCCGGCTGAAATCGGCAGGGCTGCCCCAGAAATCTACAGACACGTGAGCCAAAGATAAACGCTGAGAGTAGTAAGCCACTGAATTATGGCCATTTGTTACACAGCATATATGTGACAACAGTTGACTGATACACCACCTCTGTTCATTTCCCTTTGTGCTTGAGTTGCACTTGATTTCCACGGCTTTACTTTTTTTTTTTTTTTTTTTTTTTTTGAGACTGAGTCTCGCTCTGCCACCCAGGCTGGAGTGCAGTAGTGCAATCTCAGCTCACCGCAAGTTCCACCTCCCAGGTTCACGCCATTCTCCTTCCTCAGCCTCCCGAGTAGCTGGGACTACAGGCGCCCGCCACCACGCCTGGCTAATTTTTTTTTTTTTTTTTTGGTACTTTTAGTAGAGACAGGGTTTCACCATGTTAGCCAGGATGGTCTCAATCTCCTGACCTCGTGATCCACCCACCTCGGCCTCCCAAAGTGCTGGGATTACAGGCGTGAGCCACCATGCCTGGCCAGCTTTACTGTTTTAACTGTAGAGCTGATTTTGTGGTAGAGCGTTTGCCTTCCCACTGGTCTATAAGAAACGTGACATAAGGACTACGTCTGATTCGATTCTGACTCCCCAGCACCCAATTAAATGGCAGCCAATGTCATTCTTTTTTTTGGAAACAAGGTCTTGCTCTGCTGCCCAGGCTGGAATGCAGTGGCATGATCTTGGCTCACTGCAACCTCTGCTTCCCAAGTAACTGGAATTACCAGCACGTACCCCAACACCCAGCTAATTTTTGTATTTTTAGTAGAGTCAGGGTTTCGCCCTGTTGGCCAGGCTTGACTTCCCGGCCTCAAGTAATCTGCCCGCCTTGGCCTCCCAAAGTGATTACAGGTGTGAGCCACCACACCCGGCCAATGCCATTCTTTTCATCCTTTCCATCTGTACCTTTCCAGGACAGCCCAGTCCGGGTGGAGAGGCAAAGGTCTCTGTTTCCGGAAGGCCCAGTCTGGATGGAGAGGCAAAGGTCTCTGTTTCCAGGACTTACCTGCAAGTTTGGGCAAGAAAGTTCAAAAGCCCTGAGCTTTGGTTCCCATGACTGTCCATATGGCTCATTTGCAGCGACTCCTGGACTCCTGTTTCTCCCCCATTCAAGCTTCAGATTCCTAGGAGAGAACACTGACCCAGCCAGCATGACATGGGGACCGGGTTACACTGGCCTGGCTTTTGGAAGGAGAGGGGCCCGGCAGCCACAGCTTGCGTGGCTTCGTTTGCAGCCAGTAAGACGGTCTCTGGGAGGTTGCAGAGGTTGTTAGAGGGAAGCAGCGCTTATATAGAAGCCAGCTGAGGAGGATCCCGTACTTTAAACAAGCCAGGCTTTGAGCAGGTGAGGATAGGAATCATATCAGGTTAGTCCTGGGGACTCCTGGGCTGCAGAGCTGGTGTCCTGAGAAGATTGAGGATGGGTGTTGGTGCCCTGGCCAGACCCATCAGAGAGGGGGGCGGAGGCCTGGGCAGGAACCCTCTGTGTTCAGAAAACTGTTCAATGCCCCTTTCAGAGTATGGGCTTTGTCCTTCTCAACAAACCTGCTTGTTTTATTTATGATTTCTAGCAATAAAGAACCCATTTTATAGAAAGAACAGTAAGGAAAATGATAGCTAACATTTAGGAACTGCTTCCAAGGGGCAAGCACACCCCATGAGATAGGCACCACCATTCCCATTTGATAGATAAGGAGACTGAGGCACAGAGAGGCCACTGCCTTGCCCCATCGTCACAGCTAGGAAGGGTGGAGATCACATTTGAACCCAGGTCTCTGTAACTCCAGGGCCCATGCACTTGGCTCTTAAGTAGCACTGCCTCTAGGCCTCGTTCCTATGCACACGGCCCTGTGTCCCTGTTGATTGTCTGTTGTCCTGGCACGATTATTAATGGTGCCTCCTTTCATCCTCAAAAGGGTCCTGGTTTGAGGTGTTTTTTGTTTGTTCATTTGTTTGTTTTTGTTTTGTTTTTTTGAGACGGGGTCTCGCTCTGCACCCTGGTCGCTGCACCCAGGCTGGAGTGCAGTGGCGCGATCTTAGCTCACTGCAGTCTCTGCCTCCTGGGCTCAAGTGGTCTTCAAAAGGGTCTTGTTTGGCTGACAAATTTTAAGGCTAGGTAGAGCCTACATTATCATAGCAAGATGTTGGTGGGCAGAGTTTGGGAAACCCAGCTGACAGCTGTCCCTCACTGTCCCAGAATTCTGGCATTCAGGGCTCACTCTCCCGGGGCAGTTCCACACTGTGTTAATGAGGCAGCCCTGGTTGACCCTGGATACCTGGGCACTTCCCAGAGCAGACCTCCAGGATTTCCGTTACTCCAGGGCTCTTTGTTTATATTTTGACAAAGAGCTCGTTTTTCTCCCTGACGCCAACCCCTACCTGTACTTGCGAGGTTCTTCTCCCTGTTGTCATGTACTAGCTTGGCCAGGAAAGTGGCCACTGTTCTCCCTGGTGCTCCCAGGTAAAAGCTCCTGGGCTCACATCCAGGCTCCTGGACTTCCATCCGGGCTCCTGGCCTCCCATCAAGGCTCCTGGCCGCCCATCAAGGCTCCTGGCCTCCCATCAGGGCTCCTGGCCTTCCATTCGGGCTCCTGACCTCAAATCCGAGCTCCTGGCCTCGCATCTGGGCTCCTGGCCTCCCACCCGGGCTCCTGGCCTCCCACCCGGGCTCCTGAGCTCCCAGCCGGGCTCCTGGGCTTCCATCTGGGCTCCTGGCCTCCCATGAGGGCTCCTGGCCTCACATCTGGGCTCCTGGGCTCCCAGCTGGGCTCCTGGGCTCCCAGCTGGGCTCCTGGCCTCACATCTGGGCTCCTGGCCTCCCATGAGGGCTCCTGGCCTCACATCTGGGCTCCTGGCCTCCCACCTGGGCTCCTGGGCTCCCAGCCAGGCTCCTGGCCTCACATCTGGGCTCCTGGCCTCCCATCCAGGCTCCTGGCCTTGAATCTGGGCCCCTGGCCTCACATCTGGGCTCCTGGCCTCCCATCAGGGCTCCTGGACTCCCATCTGGGATCCTGGCCTGGAATCCAGGCTCTTGGCCTCCCATCCAGGCTCCTAGTGCTGGCTCTGCCTTCTCTTTTGGAGCGGGTGGTAGCAGTGGGGGCTGGTGAAATGTGTCACTTCCTGTCCCTGGCCCAGCTCTGAGGAGCTTCCTATGTGACCGTGACCCCTTCATGCATCTCTAGCCACTGTAGACAATACCCTCTCATCGCTTCCCTGAAAGTGATGCCCTTTCCTGAAAGCCAGCATGCCCCCCAGCAAGGCATGGAAAGCGCTGATTCTGCATAATGCTGAGAAGGGGTGCACACCTCAGTGTTCAGACCAGCCTGGGGCACTGGCTACTGGAGAAACAGTGAAGACATGTCTGCACTGAAGGACTTCTTCAAATCTTTGAAACGCCAGCCCATTTCCAAGAGGTCGGCGTGGTAGTCAGCACTTCTCAAACTGTCCCCTGAATCTTTTGTCTGGAACATCTCATGGGGCTGGTGTTCTGTGGGGCACACCGGAAAGGCATGGAGACAGGCAGGGGAGGATGAAGCCAGGATGTGGGAGAGATTTAAAGACTTTGAAAGGATCCATGGACAGGCGCAGTGGCTCACGCCTATAATCCCAACATTTTGGGAGGCCGAGGCAGGCAGATCTCTTGAGGTCAGGAGTTTGAGACTAGCCTGACCAACATGGTGAAACTCCATCTCTACTAAAAATACAAAAATTAGCCAGTGTGGTGGTAGGTGCCTGTAATCCCAGCTACTCAGGAGGCTGAGGCAGGAGAATCACTAGAACCTGGTAGGTGGAGTTTGCAGTGAGCCGAGATCATACCACTGCACTCCAGCCTGGGCAACGGAGCCAGACCTGTTTCAAAAAAAAAAAAAAAGATTTTAACACTGGAGATATGGCAGCCCGAGCACTTGTTCCAGCTTCCCTGTCCCAACCCAAGTTTCTAAACATGACTGAAACAACATGTATTTTAAAATCTGCAATAAGAATAGAAACTACAAAGGGATGTCCTCATTATCAGAAGTTGTGAGGACCGAATTGAATGTGAAAACTCTAGCCATAAGATGTGTTCAGAAGAGAACACCCGAAGGCCGGGCGCAGTGGCTCACGCCTGTAATCCCAGCACTTTGGGAGGACGAGAAGGGCAGATCACCTGAGGTCAGGAGTTCGAGACCAGCCTGACCAACATGGAGAAACCCCGTCTCTACTAAAAATACAAAAAATTAGCCAGGCGTGGTGGTGCATGCCTGTAATCCCAGCTACTCGGGAGGCTGAAGCAGGAGAATTGCTTGAACCCAGGAGGTGGAGGTTGCGGTGAGCTGAGATCGTGCCATTGCACTCCAGCCTGGGCAACAAGAGTGAGACTCCATCTCAAAAAAAAAAAAAAAAAAAAAAAAGCAGAAGAGAACACCTGTGAAGGGAAGGAAGGGAAGGGCCAGCTTAAGGACTTAGGGATGTGCTGAGTCCAGGGCCAGCTTAAGAACTTAGAGATGTGCTGAGTCCAGGGGAGGAGGCAGCTGTAGGCGACCGGTGGGTGTGGCAAGGACTTGCTCCGCCCCTACTGCCAGGAGGTGGCAGAGAGACCTACTGGGGAAATTATTTACCCTACAGATGAGGACACGGGGGCTCATTTCCTTCATAAACAGCCCTTTATCAATAAGATAAAGCCCAACAGCCCAACAGAGAAAAGAGGGGCAAGGAGAGGATCCTGCGGTTCACAGAGAAACACAAGTAACTAATATCATGAAAAGATTTTGGATCTCACTCAAAATTAATGCTAATTAAAACATCAACAACGCTGAACAATACATATTCACCACTGGCAAAACTTTTTAAAGATTGCTAATTTTCAGGGCTGAGGAGGGTGTTGGGGAAATAGGGTTCTTCCAGCTGACGGGATGTAAATTGGAACAACCTTTCTAGAGGACAATTTGGCATTAGCTGTCAAACAGAATTACTATTTTTATTTTTATTTTATTATTTTTTTTGAGACGGAGTCTCGCTCTGTCGCCTAGGCTGGAGTGCAGTGGCGCGATCTCAGCTCACTGCAAGCTCCACCTCCCGGGTTCACGCCATTCTCCTGCCTCAGCCTCCCGAGTAGCTGGGAATTACTGTTATTATTTTGAGACAAGGTCTCACTTTGTCGCCCAGGTTGGAGTCCACTGGCTCTATCTCTGCTCACTGCAACCTCTGCCTCCTGGGTTCAAGTGATTCTCCCACCTCAGCCTCCTGCGTAGCTGGAACCACAGGGGCCCACCACAACGCCTGGCTAATTTTTGTAGTGTTTGTAGAGACAGAGTTTCACCATGTTGCCCAGGCTGGTCTCCAGCTCTTGGGCTCAAGTGATCCACTCGCCTCAGCCTCCCAAAGTGCTGGGATTACAGGTGTGAGCCACTGCACCCAGCCTCAAACAGAATTACTAAGATCCTAGAAGAAAATATGATAAAATATTTCTATATTCTTGGAGAAGGGAAAAACCTAAGCAAGACACAAAATCCAGAAGCCCTAAAGGAAAAAATGAACAGATTTGACCTCATAAAAATGTAAAACTGTAGGGCTAGAGACTATGACAAATATAAAAGACAAATAATAGACAATATGTGCAACATGCAAAATAGCACTAAAATGCAAACAGCCCCTTCATATCAGAGGATAAAACTTTATATTCCAATATATAAATGGTCAATGGATAAGAACAGGCAACTTGCAAGAGAAGAAATTCAGATAGCCTGGAGTTGAGAAATGACCTTGATGCTCCCTGGGGATGAGATAAATGCAAATTTTAAAACAGATAATATCTAGAGTTGGCAAAGGGAAAGTAGTGCTCCGTAAACTGTGGGCACTATATGCTGTAGAATCTTTTGAAGGGCCATTTGGAAGAACCTATCAACACTGCAAATGTGCAGATAAACTTCTAGGAATCTGTCCTTTGGAAATGCCAGCTCAACCCTACATGGACATGAACGAGTACAATAGGCACCCCCCTTATCCTCAGGGGATACGTTGCAAGACCTCCAGGGGATGCCTGAAACAGCTAATAGGACTGAACGCTATGTAGACTATGTTTGTTCTTATACATGCATACCTATGATAAAGTTTAATTTATAAATTAGGCACAGTAAGAGATTAACAACTAATAATAAAATAGAACAATTATAACAATATACTGTGGTAAAACTGATGTGAATGCGGTCTCTCTCTCTCTCAAAATGCCTTATTGTACTGCACTCACCTATTTTTAGATGGTGGTTGACCGCAGGTAACTGAAACCACAGAAAGCAAAACTGCGATGGGGGGGGGCTGCCTGCATGCTCCTTTCAGACCTGTTTGTGAGAGAGTTTTAACTGGAGGGCATCTAAATAATCAGAGAGTGGGAAGAGAAAGGGGTACTCACTTTTTATAGTTTTGTATTGTTTGTGAATGTTTTCTATTTCATATGTTTTGTAATTAAAGCCAAAAAGGGTAATGACAAAAAGGAAAAAAAATGCTATGTGTCTGACTTTCGGGAATTTATTAGAGGGAGTGGAAATTCTACCACCTCCTATTGCTAAATCTCATTAAAATGCCCTTGAAATCAACCCAAACCAACTCTCAGGCACAGCCAGAACAACGGAGGCAGAGCAGAGCTCAGGATCCTGAATCCACACCCCCCGGCCACTCCTGGTGGGAAGAGAAGAAGAGGAGAGCTCGCTTCCCACCATCCCCATCCCACCTGGCTGGAGAGGCTGATGTGGGGCGAGGTTTGGCCATCAGTCCACAGAGGGGACTTCATGTACACAATTCATTAACATTTATTGAGCACCTATGATGTGCCAGGCACTGTTCTAGGTCCTGAGGATATGGTGATGAACAAGATCCCTGCTCTCATAGGTTACCCAGTGGGTGCCCTAAGCAGGCAATAAATAAATATGTGAGCAAGATGACAAGAGAATAGCAGAAGGCACTAAAGTTTTGGAGTAAAGCCATGAACTCTTTTTTTTTTTTTTTTTTTTTGAGACAGAGTCTTGCTCTGTCACCCAGGCTGGAGTGCAGTGGTGCGATCTCGGCTCACCACAACGTCTGCCTCCCGGATTCAAGCGATTCTCCTGCCTCAGCCTCCCGAGTGGCTGGGATTATAGGCACGTGCCACCACACCCAGCTAATTTTTCTATTTTTAGTAGAGATGGGGTTTCACCGTGTTGGTCAGGCTGGTCTCGAACTCCTGACCTCGTGATCCACCAGCCTCAGCCTGCCAAAGTGTTGGAATTACAGGCGTGAGCCACCGCGCCCGGCCCGAAAGCCATGAACTCTTTTCCCAATTATTTTCTTATTGAGAAGCATCTCTCAGCTTGCTGTTGGGTTCTGCTGTTAGTAAGCGTAAGGATGGAGGAAGGCTGGCTGATGACATTAAGCAGCTAAAGGCGTGGACTGTCGAGGCCAAATAGCATCAGCTCTCTTTGGCTTCCCCAGCCCATGGAACAGTCTTCCTATTTTGCGAATTTCCTACCTTATGAACTCACACCTGCTTATGATGGAAGCCAGAACCTTTCCCCATCTCTCTTGAAGATTGGGCACAGCATACAACTTAAGACACCACCCGTTGGCTGCTCCTGCATGAGGCTAAGTGACACTGAGAAGCAGATGACTGGAGTCCTTTCTGTCAGGATGACAGCAGATCCCAGAGGCAGCAGCAGAAAGAACCAGTGCAGGTAAATGGCCTTTGAGCCTGGTTCTCTGATTTCGCTAAGATTTTATGAGGCACCTCCTATCCTTTAATAGGTTCCTCTGTAGCTTAAAAGCAGCTAAAGAGCAGTCTGTTGCTTGTAATTAAGGACTCCTACCAGTACACGAAGGGAGAAAAGCAATAATCAAATAAATTACTTTCAGATAGAGATCAGTGCTAGGAGGAGGTCAGCACAAGGTGATGTAAGACAGAGTGACAGGTGGGGTGAGGGCTACACTTGATAAGGGGTCAGTGAAGCCTCTCTGAGGAGGTGACGTTAGGCTGAGACCCAAACAATGAGAAGGAACTAGCCATAGAAAGATCTGGGCGAGGAGACTTCTAGACACGGGGAGCAGAAAATGTAAAGGATGAGCTTCAGATGTTGATGGATGTAGGGAGGGTTGATGTGTTTGGAGTTTAGTGCAGGTGAATAAAGAGGAACATAATGAGATTGGAAAGTAGGTAGGAGTCAGTTCATGCCAGGCCTTGCAGATCATGGTAAGACATTTGGATTTTATTCTGAGGTTAGTGGGAAGCCATTAGAGAGTTTTAAACAGGACATAATATAGTACCTGGGGTAGCCAGCCTCCAAAACATCCTCCAGTGATCCTTGCATCCTTGTATTTACACTCTTGTGTAGCCCCTCTCACATTGACTAGGGCTGACCCAATAGGATGCTGCAATGTGACGGTATATAACTTTCAAGGATAGGTCATAAAAGACATTGTGACTCTGCCTTGGTCTCTCAAATGTCTCCCTCTGGGGAAGCCAGCCACCATGTTGTGAAGATACTCAAGCAGCCCTATGGAGAGGCCCACACACTGGGGAGGCACTGCGGCTTTCTGCCGACAGCCTTGTGAATGAGACACCTTGAAAGAGGATCCTCCAGCCCCAGCCAAGCTTTCAAATGGTTCCAACTCTGACATGCTGACAACTTCATGAGAGGCCCTGAGCCAGAACCACCCAAACTCCTGACCCATTAGTGTGTTATGTAACAAATGTTTGTTGTTTCATGCCACTAAGTTTTGGGGCAATTTGCTACCTCTAGCCATTGTTCCCAGCTGGTGTGTAGTCTGACTGGCAGGTGCCCATGCTTTATTAGTGGTTTGATATTTTGACTATCGGCCCTGAGTAGGAGGAATGACACAGAGAGGAGATAGAGTTGTGAGTGAGAGGAGGCCAAATCGTGGTGTCAGAGCGAGAAGCAGCACCCTGGGGAGGGCTGAGTCACTTGTGCTGTCTGGAGGAAGGCGGAGCAAAGATCTGCAGCCCAGCTGACTGTGGTCTCAGCTTTTCTAGCCTCCAGGCTTTCTCCCGGGTTCCTAAGTCTGTATGTGCTCACTGGAAATGCCCCATGACTTGGGGTGACATGGGTGAGTTTTCTTCCTCCTTCCTCCCAGAGCCACGCCAGACCTGATGCTGGAGGGCTGGGCTCTTGTCCTAGTTCCCCGTCCTGGGCTGGGCCCAGGGCACCGGCCAGTGGGAGAAACTGCCTTCTCCGCCTCCTACATGCACTGGTGGTCACACCTCGCCCCACATCAGCCTCTCCAGCCAGGTAGGGTGGGAACCACAGGAAACGAGCCCCCTTCTTCTCTTCCCACCAGGAGTGGCCGGGGGGTGTGGATTCAGGATCCTGAGCTCTGCTCTGCCTCCGTTGTTCTGGCCGTGCCTGAGAGTTGGTTTGGGTTGATTTCAAGGGCACTTTAATGAGATTTAGCAATAGGAGGTGGTAGAATTTCCACTCCCTCTAATAACTTCCCAAAAGCCAGACACATAGCATTTTTTTTCCTTTTTGTCATTACCCTTTTTGGCTTTAATTACAAAACATATGAAATAGAAAACATTCACAAACAATACAAAACTATAAAAAGTGAGTACCCCTTTCTCTTCCCACTCTCTGATTATTTAGATACCCTCCAGTTAAAACTCTCTCACAAACAGGTCTGAAAGGAGCATGCAAGCAGCCCCCCCACATTGCAGTTTTGCTTTCTGTGGTTTCAGTTACCTGCGGTCAACCACCATCTAAAAATAGGTGAGTGCAGTACAATAAGGCATTTTGAGAGAGACAGAGAGAGAGAGAGAGAGAGAGAAACCACATTCACATCAGTTTTATCACAGTATATTGTTAGAATTGTTCTATATTATTATCAGTTATTATTATTATTTTTGAGATGGAGTCTCACTCTGTCGCCCAGGCTGGAGTGCAGTGGTGCAATCTTGGCTCACTGCAACCTCCGCCTCTTGGGTTCAAGCAATTCTTCTGCCTCAGCCTCCCAAGTACTGGGATCACAGGCACCCACCACTGTGCCTGGCTAATTTTTGCATTTTTAGTAGAGACAGGATTTCACCATGTTGGCCAGGCTGGTCTCAAACTCCTGACCTCAGATGATCTGCCTGTCTCAGCCTCCCAAAGTGCTGGAATTACAGGCGTGAGCCACTGCGCCCAGCCTTAGTTATTATTGTTAATCTCCTGCTACACTAACTCCATGGCCTGAACAGTCCACCCCTTTGGCTGCTTAACATCGTCATCTGCCTTCTTCCATCCTTGCACTCACAAACAACAGAACCCAACAGCAAGTGGAGAGATGTTTTTCAAAAAGGAAATAGTTGTGAAAAGAGTTCATGGCTTTGCTCCAAAACTTCAGGGCTTTCTGGCATTCTCTTTTCATCTTGCTCATATATTTATTCATTGCCTGCCTAGGGCATCTGCTGGGTAAGCTATGAGAGTGGGGATCTTGTTCATCACCATATCCTCAGGACCTAGAACAGTGCCTGGCACATCATAGGTGCTCAACAAATGTTAAATTAATGAATTGTGCCATGAAGTTCCTTCCTATATTGAATAGAGCTGACCTGTGTAGCCAATAGGGTATTGCAAAAATGACAGTGCATTTCATGAAGCCTCAGTTTCCATGGCTAAGTGCCTCTTCCTTTGGTTATTCCCAATTTCAGATTCCAGAGAAGGGGAATATGATTGGCTCATCTTATCTGTCTGTACCAAGCCATGCCATAGATTGCCAGGTGGCCTATAAATTGGAAGCTTCAGGGAGATGTGTCTGCCTACCTTAGTCAATTAGAAGTCCCATGGCCGCTCAGACACTGTGGTTGACAAGTCTAGTATGATAGGGTCACATCTTATCGGAGGAGTGATTCTAAAATCTCTACGTAAGACTTTATCCCATACAGAGTTACTCATGAAAATCCCTTAAATTACCCATACATTTATTTATTTATTTATTTATTTATTTTATTTTATTTTTTTTTTTGAGACAGAGTCTCGCCCTGTTGCCCAGGCTGGAGTGATCTCGCGATCACTGCAATCTCTGCCTCCCGGATTCAAGTGATTTTCCTGCCTCAGCCTCCCGGGTAGTTGGGATTACAGGCATGCACCACCATGCCTGGCTAATTTTTTTTTGGTATTTTTAGTAAAGACGGGGATTCAGCATGTTGGCCAGGCTGGTCCTGAACTCCTGACTTCAGAGGATCCGCCCACCTCAGCCTCCCAAATTGCTGGGATTACAGGCGTGAGCCACCGTGCCTGGCCAAAAAATACACATCTTTAGACATGAAAGTCACAGTCCTCATAATGAGATGCTCACAGTGTAAGAGGCATTTGTGAGACCCACTGAGAGAGTAACAGGCTCCCATCGCATCTATCTCTGCTTATTCTGGGCACACACTCTGAGTAGAATGATAGGTAGACTCGCTGGCACTATTTAAATTGTCCTCTCCCCTCCGCTCCATTCCTCCTTCCTTTCTTCTCTTTATTTACACATACATGCTACAAGGGTTTAAACATCCACTTGCTCTTGTTGGATTTACACATGAATTGCATGGAGGTCTGAATATAAGAGGAAGAAAATTAATCTGATCCCAGTGAGAAAGCCCTGAGCACAGATGTAAAAGAAGAAAGCAGCAAAATTGTATTGATAATCCTATTTCCTGAAATAGATCTCTCATATGAAATGTAAGGAGATTTTAGAAAACAGCTATTACCTATTCTGAGGGAGATTAGACAGGGACAGTGCAGGGGGAACTGGGTGCTTCATCATATCAGATTGTCCCTGGAAGCGGAAATAAATAGGCTTACAGGAAATTGGATTATTAAGCAGAAGATCAACAAGAGAAACCTATGTGGCAAGTGAGGGAAATTAATGGAGAGATGAAAAGAAAACAAGGGAAAATGCCAGGCATTTAGGATAAAGTGTGAAGATATAGTATGAGGGAAAAACACTTTAAGTTTCTGGATAAAATAAATCAGGTGGAAGGAAATCAATAATCAAAAACTTGTTCTCTCTCTCACTCACACCACACACACACACACACACACACACACACACACCCCATTGTAAAATCCTTAAGGACAAAGAGCTTGTCTATTTTCTTCACTGCTCTCTCCCCAGAACTTAAAACAGTGCCTACCTAGCATATAGTAAGCACTCAATAAATATTTGTCAAATAAATGAATGCAAGACTTTAAAATGAACTGAGATGGGTCATCTTGTACCAATTAAAACGAGACTACTGACCCTAAGCTATCTCTTGGCGAAACTCTTAAACTTGGTACAAAAATAAAGACTTCTGGCCAGGCGTGGTGGCTCACACCTGTAATCCCAGCACTTTGGGAGGCCGAGGCGTGTGGATCACCTGAGGTCGGGAGTTCAAGACCAGCCTGGCCAACATAGTGAAACCCAGTCTCTACTAAAAATACAAAAATTAGCTGGGTGTGGTGGCGCATGCCTGTAATCTCACCTACTCGGGAGGCTGAGGCACAAGAATTACTTGAATCCGGGAGTGAGAGGTTGAAGGGAGCCAAGATGGCCACTCCAGCCTGGGCAACAAGAGTGAAACTCCGTCTCAAAAATAAATAAATAAATAAAGACTTCTCCCAAATTTCATGCAGAAAAAATTCAAACTTAGATGATTTCCGAAGATCTTAATAATCAGGACAACCGTGAACTTCTCATGCAACCGTCAATGCCTGAGACAATGGAGTGAAAGCTACCAGATCCTTAAGAGAAAAGTGTCCCCCAGGACTCTTAAAGCCACCAGCCCTGATGTTGGCCACGGGAAAAGACAATCAAGGAAAATCTCCGACCTTCGGTGAAATGCAGAGACTAAGGGACCCCTGTGCTGCGTGTGATGCGATTTTGAGAGAAAAAAAAAAAAAAAGGCCAGGTGTGGTGGCTCACGCCTGTAATCCCAGCACTTTGGGAGGCCCAGACAGGAGGATCCCTTGAGCTCAGGAGTTAGAGACCATTCTGGGCAACATGGCAAAACCCTGTCTCTACAAAACAAAACAAAACAATACAAAACAAAACAAACAGAAAAATAGCCAGGTGTGGTGGCACGTGCCTGTGGTCCCAGCTACCCTGGAGGCCTAGGCGGGGAGATCGCTTGAGCCTGGGAGGTCGAGGCTTCAGCGAACCAAGATCACGCCACTGCACTCCAGCCTGGGCCACAGAGCAAGATTGTCTTAAAAATAAAACAAAACAAAAACTAACGGAGCCCTGAAAAGGGAGCGCAATTCATCAATCCGCTGACGGTGATGGGCCCCCTGGCCCGGTGCAGCGGACCCTTAGGTCCTGGTGGGGGAGTCGGTCAGTCAATGCATGGGTGAGCAAATGAGTGAAGCAACGCGAGCACAGCGCTGGCCCGGATCTAACTTGGCGGTGACAGCCCAGCCCCGAGCTGGACATGGCAGGCCCCTCGGCCTGGCCGTTGCCTGAGAACCCTAGGATCACAGCGTTGGGCCGGAGTGGGACAGGGCCGGGTAGCGTCCCCCGACAGAGCTGGGTCAGGGCCTTGTTGTGGCCGGGGGCAGGCCCGGCAGCTGAAAGCGTAAGACCCCCGGAGCCCGGCACAGCGCTCCTCACCACCGGGAAAGGCGGCTGGGCCTGACCGGGCTCCCGCATCCCCCCACCCCGGAGCGTGCAGCCGCCCCAAACCCCCAGCGGCCTCCGGCTTCCAGGTGAGCAGCACCGGAAGGGAGCGGCGCCGCGTCCTCACCGCCGCGGGGGGGGCTCCCCAGCCGCGTCCCCGCCGCTTCACGCCCTCCGCGTGGAAGGACGGGGGCCCGGGGACCCCTGCAAACGGCTGAGACCCCAAAGCCCGGCTCCTCTGCCCGGCTGTCCCTCCCCGGAGCTCCGGCCGCACGGCCGCTTCCGGCACCGAGGACGCCCCGGGCTCCAGCGTTCAGCCTGCGTTTCTGGACACCCGGGATGCGCAGGGGGTTGGACAGGACCGCCCCAAACCTGCGTCGTGGGGCTTCGCCCTCCTGAGATCACCCAGGCAGCCTGTGCGCGGCCCCACCACAGCGCCTGAGGCGGCACCGCCTGAGCGCGTTCAGAAAGTAGGCAGTACTTTTATTTTTATTCTTATTCTGAGACAGGGTCTCGCTTTGTCGCCCAGGCTGGAGTGCAGTGGAGCGATCTCGGCTCACCACAGCCTCGAACTTCCGGGCTGAAGCCATCCTTCCGAGTAGGTGGGACTACGGGCGCACGCCACCACGCCCGGCTAATTTTTAAACTTTTTGTAAAGATGGGGTCTCACTACGTTGCTCAGGCTGGTCTTGAGCTCCTGAGCTCAAGCGATCCTCCCGCCTTGGCCTCCCAAAGTGATGAGATTACAGGCGTGAGCCACTGTGCGCGGCTGGTAGTACTTTTTGTACCTTGGGGACAAAAATAAAAACCCAGGCACTTAAGTGGCACTCCTACAGCAGCAGTGACTTAATAACTGGAGATAGAAAAATAAAAAAAAATAAAAAAAAATACTGGTGTCTGAACAAAGAGACATACTTAGAAAATTGTGTTATACTGACTGACATGCCTAATTCCCATCCCTTGTGGGGCGTGGGGGGCGGAGCACTTACTCCTCACCCCCGAAACCCCTCAAAATGATAAAAATAAGTGAGCAAAACAGACCCAAAACAGCAGCCCTAGCTCCCATCATTCCCAAGCAGTTTGCTGACTGACTCACCTGGCATTTCGTGGATGCAAAGAAGAGCCCCTTCCACCAGGTGAAGAAGAAAAGGGGGTCTGGGCACTATGGCTCATGCCTGTTATCCCAGCACTTTCGGAGGCTGAGGTAGACGAATCACTTAAGGTCAGGAGTTCAAGACCAGCCCGGCCAACATGGTGAAACCCCGTCTTAACTAAAAACACAAAAAAATTTGCCGGGCATGGTGGCACCTGAGGCAGAAGAATTGCTTGAACCTGGGAGGCGGAGGTTGCAGTGAGCCGAGATGGTGCCACTGCACTCCAGACTGGGCAACAGAGTGAGACCCTGTCTAGAAAAAAAAAAAGGAGACGAGGAAGGAGAAGAAACACGTGGTTTTAGGGGGGTTTATCTGAGGGTGGCCAGGCAGCTCCTGGGAATCTGCGCTGAGGAGCAGCCAGGCCTGGGGGCAGGGATGTCCAGGGGGAGCCAAAGCAGGCCCAGCTTGCCTTCCTTTCTGTCTGCGCCTCTGTTGCTCGGTGGCATCTTTTTTCGACTGTGTCCCTGTTTCTGTCTTTCCATCTTGCCATCACTTGAATCCTGTTTGACTCTGTCTCCAACTGTCCCTGCCTCAGGACAGAAATCTCTTCTCCCTGTTTCCCCAGCTCACCTACTTTTCCCCTCTCCCCGCTGTGCAGAGCTGCTCCCTCACCTCTGCTGAAACACGTGGGTCTTTCCATGATCCAAACAAGTTTGGTGATTACACTAACTGACCCTGTCTCTGGATGTCCCCATCCAGATCCCCAGGGCAGACTGAGCAATGGGCTCAGTCTCTGGGGCACTTCCCCACGGGGCAGCTGCCCCCTCTGCCCTGTGGTTGTGTGAGCACGTGGGGTTGGAATGGGGACACAGTCCACTCTTGGGAGTGGCAGTGAGTGTGAGAGTTCTCAGCTAAAGGGCAAAACCTGGGGACACACCTCAAAAAAAAGGCTTCTATTTAGGGCAGTGAAACTACTCTGTATGATACATCCATACTCTGTATGGATGCATGTCATTGTACATTTGTCCAAACCCACAGCATGTTCAACAGCAGAGTGAACCCTAATGTACGCTGTGGACTCTGGGCAATGATGATGTGTAGGTTCATGGATTGTAAAAAATGGACTGCTCTGAGGGGATGTTAATCATCGGGGAGGCTGGCAGGGAGTACACCGGAACTCTCTGTACCTTCCTTTTTGCTGTGAACATAAACCTGGTCTAAAAAAAATTAAGTCTTAAAAAAAAATTTTAGCTGGGTGCAGTGACTCATGCCTGTAATCCTAGCACTTTGGGAGGCTGAAGGGGGTGGGTCGCTTGAGCCCAGGAGTTGAAGATCAGCCTGGGCAACAAAGTGAGACCCCCATTTCATTAAAAAATTAGCCAGGCATGGTGGCACACACTGTAGTCCCAGCTACTCGGGAGGCTTGAGTCCAGAAGGTCAAGGCTACAGTGGGCTATGATCACACCACTCACACTCCAGCCTGGGCAACAGGGAAGACCTTGTCTTAAAAAAAAAAAAAAAAAAAAAAAATCAAGGACCAAGAGCAGTGGCTCACACCTTTAATCCCAGCACTTTGGAAGGCCGAGGTGGATGGATCACCTGAGTTCAGGAGTTTGAGACCTACCTGACCAACATAGTGAAACCCCGTCTCTACTAAAAATACAGAAATTAGCCAAGCATGGCAGTGTGTGCCTGCAATCCCAGCTACTTGGGTGGCTGAGGCAGGAGAATCACTTAAACCCAGGAGGCGGATGGTTGAAGTGAACTGAGATCGCACCATTGCACTCCAGCCTGAGCAACAAGAGCGAAACTCCATCTCAAAACAAAACAAAACAAAACAAAACAAAAAATTAAATTTTTCTTAAAGGGGAAAAAGAAAATAAAACGCTTCTATGTTAAGGAAACCCCACAAAAAGAGGTGCTCCTGGAAATCCTGCAGAAAAGCCTGAATGTAACTCTCCTAATGCCTTGTGCTCCCTTCTGCAGATTTTACAAATATATAGAAATATATGTACATTCCTAAGGCTTAAAGATAAATTTCACATGTGACTGTGAAATGAGATCGTAAAAAGATGTTTCTGTTCTATATGATTCAGGGTGAAAGGCTTTCTAAATGCAGTATGTTGCATTAGTATCTTCATACAGCCTCTTCCTGACATCAAGGTTCTATGCTTATATATCATGCATTAACATTGCTGAAAATCTATGTAAAAACTTGGCCCAGGAAGAACCTAATTAAAATATGCAGTTTCCTTGATTTAATATGGCCAAGATTTTGCCAAAAAAATTCTACATGTTTTCAGAGATAGCTCTGGGAACAGAGCTTTTTCTGTCGCTCTTTCTCAAGACACCCCCTTTGAATCTCAGTGAAGGACCAGGAAGGTACCTCACCAGCCAAGAGAGACCATCTCTGAAAGACACAGTTGCTTAGATGTGGGGCCAGTGATGATTGGTAGATTTATTCTTCTAGATTCTTTTTTTTTTTTTTTTGAGACATGTTCTGGCTCTGTCTCCCAGGCTGGAGTGCAGTGGCAAGATCTTGGCTCATTGCAACCTATGCCTCCTGGGCTCAAGTGATCCTCCCACCTCAGCCTCCCAAGTAGCTGGGACTACAGGTGCATGCCACCACACCCGGCTAATTTTTTTTAAAACTTTTTTGTAGAGACGTGGTTTCACCATATTGCCCAGGCTTTCTAAATGTTGAATAAACCTCAAAAGAGAAATGGCAGCATTTGCTTCTTTGTAGAAACTAAATGTGGCAAAATTCTCCCATCCTGAATCACAAATTAATTGTTCAAATGGCTATTTCTCATCCAAGGTGTTAGACAGTTCTCTCATTTCCAGGGAGTTTCGTGAAACCATGGTTTGCCTGGCTTCTGTTTTTTGTTGTTGTTGTTGTTGTTTGTGGGTTTGCTTTCTAAGAGACGGGGTCCTGCTCTGTCGTGCAGGCTGGAGTGCAGGGCACAATCATGGCTCACTGCAGCCTTGAACTCCTGGGCTCAAGCGATCCTCCTGCCTCAGCCTCTTGAGTAGATGGGAATATAGGCACATGCCACTGTGCCTGGCTAACTTTTTAACTTTTTTGTAGAGATGGGGTGTCACTGTGTTGCCCGGGCTGGTCTTGAACTCCTGGCCTCATGAGATCCTCTGGGCTTGGCCTCCCAAAGTGCTGGGATTACAGGCATGAGCCACCAGACCTGGCCTGCGTCTAGTTTCAAATTGTGCTCTGAGAGTCCCAGGGATGGGCTGGAGCTGCCCTCCTACCCCACACAGAGCAGCTCTGATTTGATCTGTTTTACTTATTTTCCTAATGTAGTTGTTGTTTGATTAGTTATACATTAAACATCAGTTATATAGCAACAGCCCCCTAATCCAGCCCTGTAGTTGTCAAACTCTTGGGTTTTTAAAAATATTTACATTTCTAATTCTAAATAATAAAGCTTATATGTCTATTGATTTTTTCAATTTGAACCACCATCTACTGACTTCAAACTTCCTACTCTGAAAAATGGAGACTAAGCTCTCTGACCATACCCCTCAACACCTATACACAAACACACCATTTCCCCCTGCTGATCTTCCCCAGAGAGTTACATCACAATGTTCAAAGAAATCAAAAGTGTTTGTTTGTTTATTTGTTGAGACAGAGTCTTGCACTGTCGCCCAGGCTGGAGTGCAAAGGCGTGATCTCAGCTCACTGCAACCTCCACCTCCCAGGTTCAAGTGATTGTCCTGCCTCACCCTCCCGAGCAGCTGGGATTACAGGCATCCGCCACCGCACCCAGCTAATTTTTTGTATTTTTAGTAGAGACGGGGTTTCACCATCTTGGCCAGGATGGTCTCGAACTCCTGACCTCGTGATCCACCCACCTCAGCCTCCCAAAGTGCTGGGATTACAGGTGTGAGCCACCGCGGCCGGCCCTCATAAGTGTTTATATCATGATGACTGTAGAAGGTACTATTCACCCTGCCCATGATAGGAAGAATGCCTAACTCCAAGTGTGAGATCGGGCACAGATTTCCAGAAGTTAACAGATAAAGTGAGACTTGAAGAACACGCCTAGGGTAGCAAGGAGACGGGGAGCTTGGGTGGAAAGACATTTGGGGAATTGGAGGCATGAGGGAAACTGAGAGGCGCTCAATGGGAGGGGCTGGAGGGGTGGGGAGCAGGGGGAGACGCCAAGGAGTTCAGTGCAGAGCAGTGTCAGATCAGATTTGCATTGAGGAACATGCCTGTGTGGTGCCTGATGAACATGGACACAGGGGTGACTGGAGGTACAGCTGGGCCTACCCCAGCTGAGCCTCATGAGTGAGCTACCAGTGAGTTCGGGGTAGTCCTCTGGCAAGAAGTGTCACTTGTCAGAAGTCAGAGGCCACCCAGGGACCTGGTTGGATGGGGATGCCAACCATGAGAGTAAAGAACAGCTCAGGCCGGGAGCAGTGGCTTACGTCTGTAATCCATGCACTTTGGGAGGCTGAAGCGGGTGGATCACCTGAGGTCGGGAGTTCAAGACCAGCCTGACCAACATGGAGAAACCCTGTCTCTACTAAAAATACAAAATTAGCCCGGCGTGGTGGCGCATGCCTGTAATCCCAGCTACTCAGGAGGCTGAGACAGGAGAATCGCTTGAACCTGGGAGGCATAGGCTGTGGTAAGGTGAGATAGCCCCATTGCACTCCAGCTCTGGGCAACAAGAGCAAAACTCTGTGTAAAAAAAAAAAAGAACAGCCCAGCTTAGAAGGGAGAAAGATGAGTTCTCATCTGGGCACGTCGAGTTTCAGATGCCTGTGGGAGCTGTGGGGCTGAAGCTTAGGAGAAAAAGGCCAGGAACAAGGTGGAGAAATATATATTTTTTAAATTGTATTAAAAAAATATAATTTTTTATGGCTGTAAAATTTCTGTTAAAAAATTGGCTTTGTGTGGGAAAAAAATCGTGCTAAGAGCTTGCTTTGGAAGGTGAAACGCCCACTTCTGGAGGGCCGGGGTGTCAGCCGATCTCAAGATTCAGAGGAGGGAAGATGCTTCAGACAATAGGGAGGACTTTGGAGTTGCAGCAGTAAAATGAAAGGTAAAGTGGGAGAGGAGCTGAGGTGGAGGCAAGAAGCAAGATGGCAGAGGCTGTGCCAGTCCTGGTAAGACCCCTGCCTAGACAGCCCCCAAGACCTCTGGCAAAGTCTAATGACCCCACAGTGGGGTGTGATTAAATGTTGTGGGGGAACCAAAGACAAAGTTGAGTTTTCCTTCAGAACCTGGAGTAGACAGAGAGGCAGCACACAGGAAGTCAGATCCCAAGAGGAGACGAGGCCAGAGTCCCTGGGAATCACAGCAAAACCCCAGGGAGGCCTTGGAATTCCAAGATCCATGGCTCACCTGGATTTCCAGTGGCTTGGGAGCCCCTAATTGAACTGTCCAAAAAGATGACGGAGTGAATGAAGTCCCACACTGGGGTGGAGGGAGAAGGGAAGAGGGCCTACCCCCGCTAAGGCCTGGGTGTGAGCTGCCTGGGAAGTGTGGGTCACAGACGTGGGGTAAAGGGAGATTTCAAGGAAGAAGAGGCCCCAAACGCCAGGTGGTGCTGGGAAGCCAAGTATGATGGGGAGTCCACTGGGTCTAGTGACAAGGAAGATGGCAGATGTCGGACTGCAGATGGGGGAAGAGTGAACAGGTGCCGTGGATTGAATATGTGTATCCCCTCCCCAGATTCATCTGTTGAAATCCTAACCCCCAAGGTGATGGTATTAGGAGGTGAGCCTTTAGAAGGTGATTAGGTCATGAGCTAAGAGCCCCCAGCAGTGAGATTACTACCCCATGAAAGGACCCCAGAGAGTTCACTCTGTCTCTCTCTCCCCATCACATGAGGATACAAAGAAAATTCGGCCATCTGCAACCCAGAAGACATCCCTTGCCAGAACTCAACCATGCTGGCACCACAATCTCATTCCAGACTCCAGAATGTGAGAAAGTGCATTTCTGTTGTTTATAAGCCTATGGGAGTCTAAAGCAACCTGAATGGACTAAAATAGGTGATGAGAAAGTAAAGCACAGAGTGCATATGAAACTTTCTAGACACTTGAACATGACGCTGTCCTGGGAGCCCTTTGGTTATATTCTCCTCCAAAAGCCCAAAGACCCTGTAGTACCATCACACAGCTATTTTGTTTTGCATATTTTTCTGGAAAAAAGGATAAAACAAATTATGACTGCGTATGATTCAAAGTCCCACCAAAATCTGTATGCCCCTTTCTCACAAAGACACATTTTACATCTTTGTTACAAAATTAATATGGGTTCTTTTTCTGAAAGTTCCTAGGATAACTCTTGTCCTCAAATTGTGCCAATTACTGAACAGAGAGGGTTCTGCCTTAAATGAGGAAATGGAATTATGATTGGAACACGTCATTGCTGATTATCGCTGCTCCCAAAAGAAGATGTAAAGAGGTTCAGGTTCCTTCCTTTTGTTTCATTTGTTTGCTTGTTTGTTGAGACAGTGTCTCAGACAGGCTGGAGCGCAGTGGCACGATCATGGCTTAACTCCCTGCAACCTCGAACTCCCAGGCTTAGGTGATCCTCCCTCCTCAGCCTCCTGAGTAG
Organism: Homo sapiens; assembly: GCF_000001405.40. Classification (NCBI taxonomy): domain Eukaryota; kingdom Metazoa; phylum Chordata; class Mammalia; order Primates; family Hominidae; genus Homo; species Homo sapiens. Next base: position 90,673,020 of record NC_000015.10, read on the forward strand.
CTGGGACTACAAGTGCACGCCATCACACCTGGCTAATTTGTGTATTTTTTTGTAGAGATGGGATTTCGCCATGTTCCCCAGGCTGGTCTTGAACTCCTGGGCTCAATGGATCTTCCCGCCTCAGCCTCCCAAAGTGCTGGGATTACAGGAGTGAGCCACCTCATCAAGCCCAACCCCCTCCCTTTGAAATAGACTGGTTGTGGATACTCTGTCGGTTCCCCAAGAGGATGGAGAATCCAGTTCTCCCTGGATATATTTTTGTAAAGTACACCAAAGGAGAGGACTAAAGCCACTGTAGAAATAACCAGGGCTGTATGATGTTGTAGAGAGAAAAAGGAAAGTAGAATGAACCCTTAGGACTGGTGTATAGGTTTCTTGGTGTCTTGACATTTCCACCACATTTCTTATTTTAAAGAAACTGAAAAAGTGGTGGACATAGAGAAGGGAGCGCTTCCTGGCTTACGCCGAAGGAGAGCGGAGAGACAGGTGGCAGGAGGGGGAGATGGAGTCCAGGGAGCCCGCCCTTCCTTCCTTCCTTCCTTCCTTCCTTCCTTCCTTCCTTCCTTCCTTCCTTCCCTCCTTCCTTCCTTCCCTCCTTCCTTCCTTCCCTCCCTCCCTCTTTCTTCAGAGTCTTGCTCTGCCGCCAAAGCTGGAGTGCAGTGGTATGATCTCAGCTCACTGCAACCTCCACCTCGCGGGTTCAAGCGATTCTCCCGCCTCAGACTCCCTAGTAACTGGGACTACGGGCGTGTGCCACCACACCTAATTTTTGTATTGTTAGTAGAGATGGGGTTTCACCACATTGGCCAGGCTGGTCTCGAACTCCTGACCTCAAGAGATCCGCCCACCTCGGCCTCCCAAAGTGCAGGGATTACAGGTGTGAGCCACCGCGCCTGGCCCCAGGGAACACCTTTCATGGAAAAGACGAGCATATTTAAATGCTGACACACTGTGGGCAGAGAGTCTGGAGACAGTGGGAGAGACCTGGTTTTGCGGTTCTAGGCCAATAGGAGGGGTGGGATTGAGAGCCCAGGAGCAGGGACTGGCCTTCGAGAGAAAGGGGTGAGCATTCAAGCAGGGTGTCTGGTGAGGGCTGGGAGGGAGAGATCAGGAAGTTGAAGGAACTCTCATCTGATGGATTCTCTTTGTTCTGTGCAATAGGAAGAGAGGGGTTAGTGATGGCAGAGGGATGGGAGGGATGCTGAGCTGACAGAAGGTTTAGAAAAGCTGGTAGGAGGAAGGGAGAAAGAGCCGGCCAGGGAGGTAGAGCAGGCTGGTAGGAAGCGTCACAGGCACTGTGGGTGTTCCCCCAGTATTCATCTTCTCTTCTTCCACGGCGATGGAATATCACTGGTCACTCAAAGACCAAGGGACAAGGGTTGGGTTTTTTATTTTGTTTATGTGCTTGTTTTTTTTTTTCCCCAGCCCAAACATGTTTATCATGAACTCCCTTTTCAGAGCAATGAGAAGCCTCAACATACTTCTTTTTTTTTTTCTTCTGAGAGAGGGTCTCACTCTGTCTCCAAGGCTGGAGTACCGGCATGATCATGGCTTATACAGACTTGACCTCTGGGATCAAGCAATTCTCCCACCTCAGCCTCCCAAAGTGCTGGGATTACAGGCATGAGTCACCACGCCTGGCCCCCAACACACTTCTTGACAGAGTCTGTGGTATCTGCAACCTGAGAATACACACAAAATGCCCAAGCGTTATTCTCTGCACCAAGGCTGCATTTCCCAGGACTCTGACCCCATTTGCAAAAAGAGTCCAGCAGCAGTGAAGGGCCCAGTCTAAGGTGTCACTATTCATCTCATGGCTACCCTGGAAGGAGAGGGGGGCTCTGCACTACAGGATGGTGTGAATTTTGCCCAGCACTATGTTTTTAATATTCATGTATACTGACTTTTCTTTTTATTAAAAAAGTGGGCTGGGCTCGGTGGCTCACGCCTGTAATCCCAGCACTTTGGGAGGCCGAGGCGGGCGGATCACCTGAAGTCGGGAGTTTGAGACCAGCCTGACCAACATGGAGAAACCCCGTCTCTACCAAAAATACAAAATTAGCCGGGCGTAGTGGTGCATGCCTATAATCTCAGCTACTCGGGAGGCTGAGGCAGGAGAATCACTTGAACCTGGGAGGCAGAGGTTGTGGTGAGCCAAGATCGCGCCATTGCACTCCAGCCTGGGCAAACAAGAGCGAAACTCCGTCTCAAAAAAAAAAAGTGATTATTAAATATAATATACAAAAAGGCATAAATAATGCAAAACACCCATGTCCCTATCATCTAGTTTAAAGAAAACATTACTAAGAGCATTCATCTCTGACTGCATCCCTTCTCCCTGCCCTTAAGTACCTGCTCCCTGCTCCCTTGAGTCTGGGATCTTTCCTTCCCACGCCTCCCACCATGCTGGCCCAGAGAGGAGGGCGTTCCGTGGTGCAGTGCATTGCAGGTGGGTGAACAGGCTGCACTGCAACATTGCAGTAACAAATAGAGAAATCATGAAAGCAACAAAAGAGAGATGAGAACTGTACTTTAGAGATACAAATACAAGCAATTGCAGAGACCGAGACCAAAAGCTTAGGTCATTAATATGTTAGCGTAGACACGGTGACAAGTCCAATGGGTGGCTATCTTAGGACACAGAAACCTGTCAGTGAACAAACCACAGGATAATGACAAAGGGGCCTGGACTAGGACTGACGCCTCCAAGCTGTTCCTAGCCAAGGTTTCACCAATATTCAGGTGAGGAGGGATTGCCATTTAAAACGGGAGTAAAGTTGTGGCCACACCAGTGTGTTGTTATCAGGTTTGGTATTAGCTGGCTGGTGAGCTGCAGAAGTCTATTTTACCGTGTGGGTTAGTTTCTCTTTTTTCTTTCTTTCTTTTTTTTTTTTTTTTTTTTGAGATGGAGTCTCGCTCTGTCTCCCAGGCTGGAGTGCAGTGGCGCGATCTCGGCTCACTGCAAGTCTGCCTCCTGGGTTCACGCCATTCTCCTGCCTCAACCTCCCAAGTAGCTGGGACTACAGGCACCCACCACCATGCCTGGCTATTTTTTTTTTTTTTAATATTTTTAGTAGAGTCGGAGTTTCACTGTGTTAGCCAGGATGGTCTCGATATCCTGACCTCATGATCTGCCTGCCTCGGCCTCCCAAAGTGCTGGGATTACAGGCATCAGCCACCGCGCCCGGCCAGGTTAGTTTTTCTTAACAAGTCAATGCTCAGATGCGTCTACCCACCAGGCTCACATTTGAGTCAAGAAAATAAAATGAAAGCCCTACTGGATTGTTGGACATCTTGAAGTACTTCCTTAGGGAAAGATGGGTGAGAGGCTGTTAGCTGCCATTTAACTGTAGTTTCAAATTTATCAAACATCTCTTTGCAATATGTCCAAGTTAGCCTGGAAGTGAACTCGACTTCATAGCCAGAGGAGCTGCCTGCCTTCCAAGCTGTGCTGCTAGCACTCTCCTCCCACCCTGTGCTGGGCACAGTTTACTGTCTTAGATTGTGGGCCTGGAGTTTTCTTTGTGACAAGGTTGTTGTTGTTTTCTTTTTTGAGACAGAGTCTCACTCTGTTGCCCAGGAGTGCAGTGGCATAATCTCAGCTCACTGCAACCTCTGCCTCCTGGATTCAAGCAATTCTCCTGCCTCAGCCTCCCAAGTAACTGGGACTACAGGCAAAGGCCACCATACTTAGCTAATTATTTTTTGTATTTTTAGTAGACACAGGGTTTCACCATGTTGGCCAGGCTGGTCTTGAACTCCTGACCTTGAGTGATCCATCCACCTTGGCCTCCCAAAGTGCTGGGATTACAGGTGTAAGCCACCATGCCCAGCCTGTGACAAGGTTTTTAACTATAAATTCAATTTCTTTAATTAACATTAGGCTATTCAAATGACCTATTTCTTCATGAGTAAGCTCTTAAGTTTTTCAAGAATTTATCCATTTCATCTAAGTTATTGAATCTGTTGGCATAAAGTTGTTTATAATGTTCCCTTGTTATCCTTTCAATATCTATGGAATCTGTAGTGATGTCTCCTCTCTCATTTCTGATATCAGCAATTTGTATTTTGTTTTGTTTTGTTTTTTTCATAATCGGTCAGGCTAGAAGTTATCAATTTTATTGATATTTTCAAAGAACCAGCTTTCAGTTTCATTGACTTTTTCTATTGTTCTTGTGTTTTCCATTTCATTAATTTCTCCCCTTTGATCTTTATTATTTCCTTTTATTTGCTTACTTTGGAATGAATTTGCTCTATTTTTCTAGTTTCTTTAAAATTTTTTTTTTTAATTTTTTTTTGAGACTGAGTTTTTGCTCTTGTTGCCCAGGCTAGAGTGCAATGGCGTGATCTCAGCTCATCACAACCTCTGCCTCCCAGGTTCAAGTGATTCTCCTGCCTCAGCCTCTAGAGTAGCTGGGATTACAGGCATGCGCCACCACGCCTGGCTAATTTTGTATTTTTAGTAGAGACGGGGTTTCTCCATGTTTGCCAGGCTGGTCTCAAACTCCTGACCTCAGGTGATCCGCCTGCCTCGGCCTCCCAAAGTGCTGGGATTACAGGCCTGAGCCACCGCGCCCGGCCCCTACATTTATTTTTTTACACCTTTTAGGTCAGAGCAGAAGAACTTGAACATTTTCTAGTTTCTTGAGGTAGAAGCTGAGGTCATTGATTTGAGTTCTTTCTCCTTTTCTAATATGACCATTTAGTGCTATGAGACCACCAGGCCTTGGTGACATTCCTGACCACTGGATAAAGCCTCAGCTGAGGCCAACCTGAATCCAAACCACTAGTTTTCAACGCTCACTACACATTAGAACTACCTGGCAAGCTTCTAAAACTAGCCATGCTTTGGCCCCACCCCAGGCCAATTAAATGAAAATCCCTGGGAATGAACCTCATTACTGGGAGTTGTCAAAGCTCACCAGGTAGTTCTGTTGAGCAGCCAGGACTGGGAATCACCACTCTAGGCCACTGTTTTTCGAACTGTCTGTAATAACAGCAGTTTTCCGTTTCATTTTCAGTTTTATTGTTATTTTATTGACTGATACTTTTGTAACACACAATAAAGATGAATCATATAGCTTCATCCACTGGAGGTATCCTTTATAAAAAGTGGTTCTTCTATGCCTCTTAAACCCAGGTGTTCTCGTTATCCTGTAGCATCATCAACAAGGTAGGAAAGAAGGGTCATGCACGTGGATCTTGCAGCCACATAGATATCTTATCGTGGACCAATAACAGTTTGTGGACCACTGTAGTCCAAGGACTGCACTGCAGCACTGTCAAGCTTTCTTGACTATGAGTCAATAACTTCTTTTTATTGTTTAAAGTAATTTTCAGTTACAAGAGGCAGATTCCAATTGAAGCACTCTATCACAGCCATATCCATCTAGGCTGCAGTCATCGGATGACATGTTGCTCTCTCTTTCTATCTCTCTCTTTCCCACAGGAGAGATGCAGCCATCCCAGAGTATGTGCGTAGTCATGGTTTATTTGATGGTGACTGTGTGATCACTGTGCACTCTCATTCTGGCTCCCTTTCCAGAGCAGCATTAACACAGGTGATACAAACTTCCCTTTCCGCCACTGTTGACACTAAAGGAAATGAGAACATCTGGGTTTAAGAGGTAATGGAAGCACCACTTTTTTTTTTTCATAAAGGAAACCTCTAGAAGTCACATGATTTGGCGGTACCTTTTCTTTTTTCTTTTCTTTTTTTTTGAGACGGAGTTTTGGTCTTGTTGCCCAGGCTGGAGTGCGGTGGCACAATCTCGGCTCACTGCAACCTCCACCTCCCAGGTTCAAGCGATTCTCCTGCCTCAGCCTCCTGAGTAGCTGGGATTACAGGCATCCACCACCACACCTGGCTAATTTTTTGTATTTTTTAGTAGAGATGGGGTTTCACCATGTTGGCCAGGCTGGTCTCAAACTCCTGACCTCAGGTGATCCACCCGACTCGGCCTCCCAAAGTGCTGGGATTACAGGTGTGAGCCACCATGCCCGGCCAAGGAACATTTTCATCTTTTGATCACAAGCTCCTCTTTCAACTTACAAATACGAATTTTAACATACTTGCATTGTTCTTTTTGTTGCTCAAATCATCCTGTATTTGGTCAGAGAGAGCCTTTTCACATGAACCCCTGTGTCCTTTTAATCAGACTCCATAGTGATGATACCTTCCTTGTTCAGCTGCCCCAACCTTGGACTGGCCATTTGGCAGGAGCCCTAGTTTCTTTTAGCAGAGAATGACATACAGAGACCATGATCTAGGCAAGATATATACTTTTTTTTTTTTTTTTTTTTTTTGAGACAGGATCTCACTGTCTCCTTGGCTGGAGTGCATGGCAGTCACGACTTACAACAGCCTTGAACTCCTGGGCTCAAGGGATCCACTAGCTTCAGTCACCTGAGCAGCTGGGACCACAGGCACATACCACCATACCTGACACTCTCTCTCTGTCTCTCTCTATATATATTTGTTGTTGTTTGTTTGTTTGTTTTCGTAAAGACAGGGTCTTTTGTTTTGAGACAGATCTCACTCTGTTGCCCAGGCTGGAGTGCAGTGGCACGATCTCGGCTCATTGCAACCTCCGCCTCTCAGGTTCAAGTGATTCTCCTGCCTCAGCCTCCTGAGTAGCTGGGACTACAGGCACGTGCCACCACGCCCAGCTAATTTTTGTATTTTTAGTAGAGACAGGGTTTCACCATACTGGCCAGGCTGGTCTTGAACTCCTGACCTTGTGATCCACCTGCCTCCGTCTCCCAAAGTGCTGGGATTACAGGCGTGAGCCACCGTACCCGGCCAAGACAGGGTCTTTTTTTATTTTTCATTTTCTCAGCCTGAATATGTTTGTAGACAAGGTCTTGCTATGTTGCCCAGGTTCTACTCTTTTTAAACACAAAAATTACATAATTTTTCAGACAATCTGTTTTGCCATATTGAGAGGCCTTTGCATTAAGTCTGCTAATGCCCTGACAACCACCACATCACTTGGGATTTGGAGTCCCTTTGGGTTAGAGCAGGGTTTCTCAACTTCGGCACTATTGACATGTGGGCTGGATCATTTTGTTCTTTGGAGGCTGTTCTGACACTGCAGGTAGATGCCAGTAGCACCTCCCTAGTTGTGGCAACCAAAATGCCTCCAGACATTGCCCAATACCCCTGGGGGTGCCAAAATCATCCCCCGTTAAGAATCACTGGATGTCCTCTGGGATTCTACGGAAAACTTCCTGGAACAAACCAGAGAAAATCTGACTCCTGATGTCACATCCATGCCAGCTTCCTGCCTCTGTTTCCCCATTTGTCCAGTTGGGATCATGACTACAAGATAAAACAGCATATGGTGGGAAGCAATGGGACCTGCAAGGAGTCATCGTGGTACTCATGAGGAGCAGACATAAGGTCACAAGCAGCACTGCCCTGGAACTGCATGGCACTGTGCTGGCTTTGCCAAGGTGGTAGGGCATCCCACTGAACTGACTCAAGTCCCCAGGATTGCTCCAACTCTTGTATTCCCTCCAGGCCTCTTTTTAATGTTAGCGTTGTTTAAGATCTTTCATTTTACTGTCAAAAAGAGAAAGTCTCATTTAATTCATACCAGATGCTGAGTGAGTCGTCATGAATCAATACAACATTATCCAAAAACCACCAAAATGAATCATAAGGATAAACAGGATTTTTTTCTCCCTGCAAAACAGTGACTAAAATAGTGCCTTGCCCTTTTAGAAAAAAAAAAAAAAAAATCTGAGGTTAGGAGGAGGCCTAGGGCCCTGCTCATGTAATCCACGTGTCCGTGAGCATGGAATGGTTCAACTGCAGGTCCTAGGGAGACAGTGTATGAGGCCTGCAGCTAAGCCAGGCAGACACGGGCTGGAGAAGGTGTCCCAGAGTTAGGATTCAGGAATGGGGGTCCAGCAGCCCCCTGAAACTTATGCAATCCTCTGTTTCCATCCCAGTCTCAAAGCTGTCTGTGACTCAGAGAAGTTTTGTCACCCTCATTATGGATGAAGAGGCTCTTGGGAACTGTGGAGGGTCTTCTGGGAGGTGAGCATCCCAGAATTCTTCTGCTGCTGATAAAGCTAAGGCAGCCCATCAGCCTCATGAGCACTTATTTTCTCAGTCCTTCCTCTACTGTGATCCTGAGAATGCACTCTGAGTATGTAGGGGAGTCAGAAATGGTGTTTGTCCTCTCTGGGGCAGCAGGGAGGCTGGAGAGGGAAGGCTCTGGGCCCACCTAGGCACTCAGACTCTGACCCTTGAATGGAGGAAGCAAAAGCCAAGAAGAGGTTGGGGCTGACACATCTTTACAGTGTGGCCAGATGAGACTCTCAGTTGGTTCCAGCTTCTAGGTCCCCACGGCCTCCCTGTTTTCTGTCTTTTCCAGACCAGGCTCTTCAATTTCCCCTTCCATGTTGTGAGGGACTCCATAGCCTTCTTGTGAATTTCCCTTGGGGTCGGGGGTCAGTGTCTGTTTCTTGCCACCGCAGCACCAGGCTGGTTGTTTCTGTAAGAGGCTCTGAGAGCTGCGCCTCCCACATCCCTCACCTCCCAGACTTGTGCAGGAGTAGTCAGGAACATGCGGAGCTGGAACCACACTCGATGGCACCCACGAGGTCAAGTCAGAAGGGCTCCCTTCTGGTAAGGCAGAATCAGAGCCAAGGAGGCTGAGCGTTCCCTGCAATCACTGCCATCACTGATGAAGGAACTGACTCATCTGATGTGGGCCATTGAGGAATGTGGAGGTTGGACGAGTGACCACTAGGACCTTCAGCAATAGAGAAAATGGAACTGGCTGGGCACGGCGGCTCATACTTGTAATCCCAGAACTTTGGGAGGCTGAGGTGGGAGGATCACCTGAGGTCAGGAGTTCAAGACCAGCCTGGCCAACATGGTGAAACCTTGTCTCTACTAAAAATACAAAAATTGGCTGAGTGTGATGGCACGTGCCTGTAATCCCAGCTACTCCAGAGGCTGAACCAGGAGAATTGCTTGAACCTGGGAGACAGAGGTTGCAGTGAGCTGAGATTGCACCACTGCACTCCAGCCTGGGCAACAGAACAAGACTCCATCTCAAAAAAAAAAAAAGAAGGAACTGTTCCCAGAGATCCTCAGTGCCACTCCAGGTTTCAGCGAAGCTCTGCTGAGGGGCCGGGGTCATGGACCCCAGTGTACACAGGCTCTACTAGGGGATCCTATCGAAGCCCCCTCCCCCGAATGGCCTCCAGGAATCTGTCCTGGCTCCACCTCTGGAACCTTCATTTTCTTACATCTTGCCTGTAGCCATCACCACACTTGGCAACCTACTGTGTGTCACCTAGCTCCCCTACTTATGGGATGACTACTTCAATTCTTCACTCTCTCAAACTTCCAAGGCCCTCCTATCCCCCCCTCACCTCTGGCCTCTGCCCACTAGAGGACCCCCACTAGTAATACCCCTTAGTTGTGACAATCAAAAATGTCTCCAGACGTTGCCAAACATCCCCTCAGGTGGAAAATCACCCTCAGTGAGAACCACTGATCTAGACCAACAGCCAGCCGCTCTCTCTCATGCTTGTGACCCACATCTGGAATGCACACATTTGACTGACCTTCATCTGTCTCTTGATGCAGCCCTTTTTCAAAGCCCAGCATGGCTGGGCATGGTGGCGCACGCCTGTAATCCCAGCACTTTTGGAGGCCAAGCCGGGAGGGTTGTTTGAGCTCAGAAGTTTGAGACCAGCCTAGGCAACATGGTGAAACCCCATCTCCACAAAAAATACAAAAATTAGCCGGGTGTGGTGGTATGCACAGGTGGTCCCAGCTACTCAGGAGGCTGAGATAGGAGGATTGCTTGAGCCTGGGAGTTCAAGAACAGCCTCGGCAATATGGCAAGACCTCATCTCTTAAAAAATAAAAAAAAAAAAAATTAAAAAAACTTGATCACATTTTTCTGGAGGGGAATTTAACAATATTTATCATAAGCTTTAAGTTAATAGTGTAATATAAAATAAGCTGAGCATGGTGGCAGGCACCTGTAATCCCAGCTACTCAGGAGTCTGAGGCAGGAGAACTGCTTGAACCCAGGAGGTGGAGGCTGCAGTGAGCTGTGATTACGCCACTGCACTCCAGCCTGGGCAATAGGGCAAGACTCCGTCTCAAAAAAGAAAAAAAAGAAAAGTTAATAGTGTAATATTATGAACTACTGATACATGAAACATAGGTGAATCCCAAAAACATAATGCTGAGGGAAGAGTACATACACCAGGCGGGTGGCTCACGCCTGTTATCCCAGCACTTTGGGAGGCCAAGGTGGGAGGATCGCTTGAGCCCAGGAGTTCTAGACCGGCCTGGGCAACGCAGCAAGATGACCCATCTCAATTTTTTTTAATTAAAAATAATAATAACTAAAAAAACCCCAAAGCCCAGTGGACTGACAGGCAGACAACATACATACACACGCCCCTGTAGATTTCGAGGTGTGATTCGGACACCTCTGTGTCTCCCTGGTTCCAGTGTCCCCCTCAGTTGATCTGAGGAAAGCAGGACGCACTCACCCCTCCCCCATGGGTGTGGCTGGGGGCGGGCTCCACAGTACAAGCCTCTGCTAAAGAAATCTGCTTCCACCGGGCAGGTGGCTCACACCTGTAACGCCAGCACTCTGGGAGGCTGAGGCGGCTGGATCACCTGAGGTCAGGAGTTTGAGA